>NC_000006.12:2938787-3090303 GCF_000001405.40 Homo sapiens
AAGGTGTGAAATTTACCCGGTGTATGACTTTCCTCTAGGGGCGCTCGACCAGTAAGGGAGAATTGCATCTAATGGGCATGCGCACAACTTCAGTAACCATCCAGCGCCTACTGGGAGGGCTACTGGGCATGCAATACTTGAGGGCCAGCCCGGGAGGTGAAGAACAAAGAGTGGAGACAGCCTGGAAAAGAGTAAGGGGTATAAAAACTGTAAGCAGGCCTGGGGTGGTGGCTCACGCCTGTAGTTCCAGCACTTTGGGAGGCTGAGGCAGGTGGATCATGAAGTCAGGAGATCAAGACCATCCTGGTTTACATGGTGAAACCCTGTCTCTACTAAAAATACAAAAAATCAGCCAGGCGTGGTGGCAAGCACCTGTAGTCCCAGCTACTCGGGAGGCTGAGGCAGGAGAATCGCTTGAACCCTGGAGACAAAGGTTGCAGTCAGCTGAGATTGTACCACTGCACTCCAGCCTGGGCAATAGAGCGAGACTCCGTCCAAAAAAAAAAAAAAATCAAAGCGGAAGCAGCACTTGATTTTTGAAGTCTCCTGCTTGACCCTCTTCCAAGCCTACTTTCTCCAATGAACTTTCACATTGCTTAAAATAAATGTTCCCTTGCCTGTCTCTCATTTGAATTCTTTCCTTTTAAAAGTACAAAGTGAGAAGTGACAGCATGCTGGCAGTCCTCACAGCCCTCGGTCGCTCTGGGTGCCTCCTCTGCCTGGGCTCCCACTTTGGCGGCACTTGAGGAGCCCTTCAGCCCGCCGCTGCACTGTTGGAGTCCGTTTCTGGGCTGGCCACGCAAGGCCGGAGCCGGCTTCCTCAGCTTGCAGGGAGGTGTGCAGAGAGAGGCGCCAGCGGGAACTGGGGCTGTGCGCGGCGCTTGCGGGCCAGCTGGAGTTCCGGGTGGGCGTGGGCTTGGCGGGCCCCGCACTCGGAGCAGCCGGCCGGCCATGCCGGCCTCGGGCAATGAGGGGTTTAGCACCCGGGCCAGTGGCTGCAGAGGGTGTACTGGGTTCCCCCATAGTGCCAGCCCACCAGCGCTGCGCCCTATTTCTCACTGGGCCTTAGCTGCCTTCCCGCGGGGCAGGACTTGGGACCTGCAGCCCGCCATGCCCGAGCCTCCCTGATGAACACCACCCCCTACTCCATGGCTCCCAGTCCCATCGACCACCCAAGGGCTGAAGAGTGTGGGCGCATGGCGTGGGAGTGGCAGGCAGCTCCACCTGCAGCCCCAGTACAGGATCCACTGGGTGAAGCCAGCTGGGCTCCTGAGTCTGGTGGGGACCATGGAGAACATTTGTGTCTGGCCCAGCGATTGTAAATACACCAATCGGCACTCTGTATCTAGCTCAAGGTTTGTAAACACACCAATCAGCATCCTGCATCTAGCTCAAGGTTTAGTGAATGCACCAATTGACACTCTATATCTAGCTACTCTGGTGGGGCCTTGGAGAACCTTTATGTCTAGCTCAGGGATTGTAAACGCACCAATCAGCGCCCTGTCAAAACAGACCACTTGGTTCTACCAATCAGCAGGATGTGGGTGGGGCCAGATAAAAGAATAAAAGCAGGCTGCCGGAGCTTGTAGTGGTAACCCGTTGGGGTTTTCTGTGCTGTGATAAGGTTTGTTCGTTTGCATTTGGCGTCTGCGTTGCCTTTATGAGCTGTAGCGCTCACTGCGAAAATTGTCACTTTATTTCTGAAGTGGGTGAGATGACGAGCCCGGCAGGAGGAACGAAACACTCATCTGTGAAAGTTGCAACTTCATTTCTGAAGTAGGTGAGACGACTCTGTGAAAGTTGCAACTTCATTTCTGAAGTGGGTGAGACGACGAGCCCATTAGGAGGAACGGAACACTCACTGCGAAAGTTGCAATTTCATTTCTATAGTGGGTGAGACGACGAGCCCAGTGAGAGTGAACGAACAACTCCAGGCGCGCCGCCTTAAGAGCTATAGTATTCACTGAGGGTTTGCGGTTTTATTCTTGAAGTCAGTGAAACCAAAAACCAATTTCTGGGTGTAAAAAGACCAAGGTTCTTGCAAGGTTGCTCCTCCCAAATTCCTTCAGATAGGGGAAGACACACAGTTTACAAGAACATTTTGAATCTTACTCATTTTCAAGTATATAATATATATTTTTAATTGTAGCCAACATGACTTACAATAAGTAAACTTAAAAAGATATAAGCCACCCATGTTGGGTGTGGGGGTACATGCCAGTAATCCCAGCTGCGTGGGAGGCTGAGGTGGGGTAGATTGCTGGAGTCCAGGAATTTGAGGCCAGCCTGGGCAACATAACACCCCATTTCTGAAAGTAAACAAAGCCCTAATTATGTTCATTTTCCCCCTTCATTTTCAGATTTCCCATTTTGGCCACGCTTCACATGCGACACATATAGAAGTACACAGCAGCTTCCCCCCTTACCTGCAAGGGATATGTTCAGAGATCTCCAGTGGATGCCTGAAACTATGGATAGTACTGAATCCTATATATACTGTTTTTTTCTATACATATAATAAAGTTTATAAATTAGGTACAGTAAGAGATTAAAAACTCAAAATATGAGTTAAACTCATATGCAATATAATATATGCAATAAAATTGAAATACTGTCAAACTCTGTAAAGTATTTGAAGAGATTTGTTCTGAGCCAAATGTGAGTGACCGTGGCCTCTGACACAGCCCCTGGAGATCCTGAGAACACGTGCCCAAGGTGGTGGTGGTCAGGGGGGAGCTTCTGGGTCGCAGGTGGATTCCAAGATTTTCTGGTTGAAAGTTCATCTAAAGACCTGAAATCAATAGAAGGGAGTGTGTGGGTTAAGATAAGGTGTTGTGGAGACCAAGGGTCTTATTCTGCAGATGAAGCGAGCAGGCTTCAGAGAGCATCTATTGTAAATGTCTCTTTTCAGACTCTCCTGGATCAGGAGAAAGACCCGGAAAGGGAAGGAGATTATCTACAAAAATGTAGATTTTCCCCACAAGAGGCAGCTTTGCAGGGCCATTTCAAAATATGTCAAAGAAATATGTTTTGGGGTAAAATACTTCAATTTCTTTCAGGGCCCGTTGTCTGTCATGTTGGTAGCTAATTGCTAGATAGAGTCTGTTTTGTCAGCGTTAAGGTCTGTTTTAATGTAATGCTGGTCAGCTGTGCCTGAATTCCAACGGGAGGAAGGTAGAATGAGGCATGTCTGAGCCCCTCCTCCCTATTTCACATCGTGGCCTGAACTAGTGTTTCAGGTTTACTTTCGAATGCCTTTGGCTGAGAGGAGGGGTCCATTTGGTTGGGGGGCTTAGAATTTTATTTTTGGGCCAGGCTTGGTGGTTCATGCCTATAATCCCAGCGCTTTGGGACGCTGAGGCGGGCGGATCACCTGAGGTCGGGAGTTCGAGACCAGCCTGACCAACACAGAGAAACCCTGTCTCTACTAAAAATACAAAATTATCTGGGCGTGGTGGCGCATGCCTGTAATCCCAGCTACTCGGAAGGCTGAGGCAGGAGAATCGCTTGAACCCAGGAGGCGGAGATTGCGGTGAGCCGAGATCGCGCCGTTGCACTGCAGCCTGGGCAATAAGAGTTAAGCTCCATCTCAAAAAAAAAAAAAAAAAGTATTTTATTTTTGGTTTACAATAACATACTGTAATAAAAGTTACGTAAATATAGGCCAGGCGCGGTGGCTCACGCCTGTAATCCTAGCACTTTGGGAGGCTGAGGCCGGCAGATCACTTGAGGTCAGGAGTTTGAGACCAGCCTGGTCAACATGGTAAAACCCCATCTCTACTAAAAATACAAAAATTAGCCGGGCGTGGTGGTGCACCCCTGTAATCCTAACTACTCAGGAGGCTGAGGCAGGAGAATCTCTTGAACCAGGGAGGTGGAAGTTGCAGTGAGCCAAGATCACGCTGCACTGCAGCCTGGGGGACAAGAGCGAAACTCCGTCTCAAAAAAAGTTATGTAAATATGATCTCTCTCTCTCCCTCTCTCTCTCTCACACCCACAGTGCTGTACTCACCTATTTTTGGACCATGGGTAACTGAAACACTGGAAAATGAAACCTTCAATAACTGGTAACTACTGTGTAGGTGCCATGTAGGGTTTGTGGACTCCTAATGAGGAAAAAGGAGTGAGGCTGGCAGGACCAGGGGAAAGCAAAGAGAGAAAGCAGATAAGCTATAGGTTCGCTTTTCTTTATGGCCCAAGACATATGGCCCACCTGTGCAAATAATGTACGTAACTCACAAACTTCCTGCTTATCATCAAACACTTCAACTTATCATCAAACACCTCTGCTGACAGAAGAATGCAAGCGAGCTCCCTACTGCCTTGGCGTTCTCAATCAGCCGAGAACCATCCTCTGAAACCCTCAGCAAGCCTTTGTTCCCTTGCACTGAACTCCTCTCTTGCTGATTCTGCCCATTTCGACCTTAACGAGGTACATCATACTTTCTCTAATAAATCTGCCTTTCTTTACCTACAGCTATCTTGGGAAATTCTTTTACCCCAGCACCAATGGCCCTGGTAGGTGCTGCTCACCCGTGACAGGGTTCGCATACTGAAAAAAACACAAGTTCTGACTATGTTTTCAGAAAAAAAATGCAGTTGTTCTGTAATCAGATTTCCGCTGAGCGCTTGTCTGTTTCCTCTAAGAATAAGGGGGAAAGGAAGTGTTATTTCTAAAAAGGGTATTTTAAATGACCTCCAAGTTTACTGAGAAGCCATAGCACTTACTTTCAACTTTAATTTCCCTTTGCCGCCCATCACCTTTTAGCAAAGCCACATGAGCGTGCATCTGGCTGCCCTGTGCAGACAGACAGGGGCTGGGGAGCAAGCATAGGAGGGCCTGAGGAGCTAAATCCCCAGCTGCCCTTGACCATCAAGAGGGTGTATTTTAAAAGCTAAATTAGGAGGTTCTGGGTTTTAAGTAAGAAAGGGGAAATTGGCCAGGCGCAGTGGCTCACTCCTGTAATCCCAGCACCTTGGTAGTCCAAGGCGGGTGGATCACTTGAGGCAAGGAGTTTGAGACTAGCCTGGCCAACATGGCGAAACCCTGTCTCTACAAAAACAATACAAAAATTAGCCAGGTGTGGTGGCCCAGGCCTGTAATCCCAGCTACGTAGGAGGCTGAGGCACAAGCATCACTTGAACCTGGGAGGTGGAGGTTGCAGTGAGCTGAGGTTGCACCACTGCATTCCAGCCTGGGTGACAGAGTGAGAGTCCATCTCAAAAAAAAAAAAAAAAAAAAAAAAAAAAAGAGGGTATTTTACTAGAAACATACATAAAGTTACTGTGTTTTCAAGCTTGCCAAAAACTGAACTTGAACTTGTGTGCCTCGCCAGATGAAATGGTCAGAATAGACACGCTTACTGGCCTAATGGCTGGCCTGTCCTTCCAGAAAGTCTCCAAAAATGACACAGAAAAGTGAAATCAAATTTCGCTGTTTCATTTATTCTTCTCTTTAAGGTATAGTTTTCTGTCCCAAGTGTATAATTTTATAGTTGTGAAATTCAAGAATAATGGTAACATAATTACTCTTGATTCTGTAAAAGTATCTAAATGACTAAGAGAATAGGTTAATTAGTTAGACTGGGAACACTTTTGTAAGGATAAAAAAAATTCATCCAAACTTTTGTCTACAGATTAAAAACAACAATAATAGAGCTGATATCCACCTCAAAAGGTTGCTTTGGAAATGTAATTTTATTCAGTGTATGTAAAGCCTTTGCATTTGGCAGGGCTGACTGAAAAAACAACCCTATCAATTAATGGGACTGTGGCTTGTGTCTATCAGCTGCCGTGTTCTCCTTTAGAATGAGACAGCTATTTCTGCATCAAGGGATATGACCCTACGATCTTGCTGCTTTATTCTATAATGGAACAGATGGCATGCATTTTATCATGCTGCATCCACCTCATATTCCTGGGTTAAGCTTACTTCCCATACATAATTCCCTTCCCATACATAATTCCCTTCCCATAACATAATTCCCTTCCCATACATAATTCCCTTCCCATACTTAATTCCCTTCCCATACATAATTCCCTTCCCATACATAATTCCCTTCCCATACATAATTCCCTTCCCATACTTAATTCCCTTCCCATACATAATTCCCTTCCCATACATAATTTCCAAACACAACCTTACCAAGGTTGTGCTCGTCAATATGCAGTGAACTAAAGAGTGTTTCCTCCCTTTTATTTCTTGCATCTGTTAAGATTGGAATGATTTGTGCCCTGAGAGCCACATGCAGTATCCATGTGGGAACTGGATGTGTGCCCTGTTCACCCAGATGCAAACGGTTTCAGTGCAGGAGTGAATAGAACCAAGGCCCAGTGCGTGCGCAATCTAGGCGGGCCTGAGCCAGTGATTCCATTCTCCTTCCCCGAGACTATCCACCGCAGCTTCAGGAGGAACACTAGGAGGTCCAAGGCCCTTATTGAAGATGAGTGCACCCAAGGATCCTGCCACCATCTGCATGACCACGGTCAGCCGCCTGGCCGAGCTCAGAGGGCCATCCAGCCCAGAACCATGCCTGCACAGACTGGCGAAGGCTGAGTCCTTTCAGGGAGAGTGAATCGAAATGAGAAGAACAGCATGAACCCAGGGGAGAGACGGGTAAGGGTGGGAGCCATATGAGGAAGAGCAGGTGAGGATACAGTGAGTTGCAGAGAAAGAACAGATCTCCCCTGGCACAAACAATCCCACAGGATTTGCATATAATAGAAACCCTTACTTCCCTGTACACAGTTTAAAAATATTTTTCTGGCCGGCACGGTGGCTCATGCCTGTAATCCCAGAACTTTGGGAGGCCGACATGGGAGGATCATTTGAGGTCAGGAGTTTTAGACCAGCCTGGCCAACAGGGCAAAACCCCATCGCTACTAAAAAAAATACAAAAATTAGCCGGGCGTCGTGGTGCATGCCTGTAACCCCAGCTACTGGGGAGGTTGAGGCATGAGAATCGCTTGAACCCAGGAGGCAGAGGCTGCAGTGAGCCGAGATTGAATCACGGCACTCCAGCCCACATGATGAAGCGAGACTCTGTCTCTAAATAAATAAATAAATAAAATATTTTTCTGATTACACAAGAATACATGTTCACAATGGAAAATTTAAAAATCAAACAAAAATCCCCCCAATGTCTTCTTGTGCCATTTCCTAAAAGATGTAGAGGCATTACTCAGATGGTTGTGCCTTTTACTGTATTGCAATCAAATTAAGAGTGACAGATAACCCTTCAAAGGTGATGTCACAGACAGCTAAGGGGCGGTAACTCAGTGGGGACCAGGGAGCCTTCCAGAGCGGGATGTGTGGTGTTGGTTGTTCTCTTCCCCTGTCAGAGGTAACACATAGGACCCTGAATGTTCATCTTAACTCACTAGTGATACCATCCTTATCCTGGGGAAAGGGAATGATACCATGATACCTGGATGGTTAGAGACTATTCCACGTACCCCACTCCCTGCCCCCATCCCTGCCCCTAAGCAAGGATGTGGACCCCGTGCCTCTGCCCAAGAACTGGACACAGGGCAGCAGCTGCCAGCTGCAGTGCAGAGGCCCTCTCCGTGATGCTGGAAGCATCACATAAACGGATCCTGCCCCACCCTCGGAGCCCTTGTTCCAAGTCTCCTTGTCCCCGTTCTTTAAAAAATACCAGGAATGGGCCGGGCACAGTGGCTCACGCCTGTAATCCCAGCACTTTGGGAGGCCGAGGCGGGTGGATGACGAGGTCATGAGATTGAAACCATCCTGGCTAACACGGTGAAACCCCGACTCTACTAAAAATACAAAAAATTAGCCAAGCGTGGTGGCAGGCGCCTGTATTCACAGCTACTGGAGAGGCTGAGGCAGGAGAATGGTGTGAACCTGGGAGGTGGAGCTTGCAGTGAGCTGAGATCGCACCACTGCACTCCAGCCTGGGCGACAGAGCAAGACTCCATCTCAAAAACAACAACAACAAACCAGGAATGGGCTGGGCATGGTGGCTCATGCTTATAATCCCAGCACTTTGGGAGGCCAAGGTGGGCAGATCACGAGGTCAGGAGTTCAAGACCAGCCTGGCCAACATAGCGAAACCGTCTCTACTAAAAATACAAAAGATTAGCTGAGGCCGGACGCAGTGGCTCACACCTGTAATCCCAGCACTTTGGGAGGCCGAGGCAGGCCGGATCAGCTGAGGTCAGGAATTTGAGACCAGCCTGGCCAACATTGGGAAACCTTGTCTCTACTAAAAATGCAAAAATTATCTGGGCATGGTGGTGCATGCCTGTAGTCCCAGCTACTCTACTCGGGAGGCTGAGGCAGGAGAATGGCTTGAACCTGGGAGGTGGAGCTTGCAGTGAGCCGAGATCGTGCCACTGCACTCCAGCCTGGGTGACAGAGTGAGACTCCATCTCAAAAACAAACAAACAAACAAGAATGCTGTGCAGAGCAGGGAGTATGAGGGACAAAACCAGCACTATCTGGCCCTTCTTTCCCCAGCTCTCCCACTCATCCTTGCCACATCTCCTGCTGCTCCTGAGTCCCATCTGTCACCCCAGCCTGGACACTAAGGGGAAAGAGAACCAGGAAGAGTGAGAGCATATGAGAGCACAGTTGCACCAGGTAAAGGAGGAGAGGCCAGGTTCCCACTGCCTGCAAAAGAAGTCCTTTCTGCCTCCCTGGAACATTGTGTGGCTCCATCTGAGCCTGACCTGTCCTTCTGCTCCTGGATGGCTGGGTGCAGGGATCACATTTCCAGCAAGTAACACAAATGGCCCCAGAAACCTTAGCTGTCTTTTCTGTCTGCAATACTTCAGTGAAACAGAAAGGCACCTGGTGCTGACTCGTGAAGTCGCCGTAAACTCCGTTACTATAAAGGGAACACTACCATCATTTGACATTTTTGGAAGTGGGCAGTGTGTGTGTGAACAAGCATGTGATCCACCAGTCCTCAGGGAAGCAGAAACACCCACAGGGCAGGGGACTGCTGTCACCCTCATCTGGTTCACCTGCTCCCCCCACCTCCATGCAGGCTTCCGGAGAGCTTGCGGTAGTTTTAGAATTGAGCTTCCCGCACCTCCCTGTAGCACCCCATTTCACCCCATTCTCTCCCTAGAAGTGGGATGAGACTCCACTACTGAGTAGAGGAGACAGAGAAGCACCATGTATCTTCCTGTGCCAAGGAAGAGTCACACCACCGACCTCAAGGGCAGCTGTCTGCCCACAATGAAGTCGTGGGGTCCCCATGGCTGTGGGGGGTGGGCAACACCTCCCCCAAGCAAGGGTGAGCTAGGTGGTCATTGCCGCCCCTACTAACATAACCCAGACCCAGAGCAGCAATTTCAGATCCTAGGAAACATCTCCCGTGCAGACACACAAACACACGGAGTGAATGCGGCATCCCACAAATGGGCCCTTTATTTCTGAACTGCCACCACTGCACGGATAAGGCCACTTGGGTTGCAGGCACACTGTGGAGTGTCAGGGGACAGAGAGGAGAGGGGCTGCACACCAAGACTGCCCTGTCCTCACGGAGAGGAAAAGCGGCCGCAGAAGAGAATCCCGTTGGTCTTGCTGTGCTGGATGAAGAAAAGGAAGGGGTGGTCGGCGCAGAAGCGGGGGACGAATCTGGCACACCGCATCATCATGATGGCAGCTGTGGCGGCTGCAGCCTCCGTGCCTTCCTCATTGACCTCCACAAAAGACTTGTGCACGACCTTGGACAGAGACAGGTCTGTCTGGGACATTCCAGAGAAGTCTGCCTTGCCCAGCTCGAAGGCATCAGTCATGCCCAGGTTGCGCAGGACACTCTCCATGTCGTAGCTTTCCTCTAGTTTAAACCGCGGGAGGGACACTTCCACCTCCTCTTCATCCATCATGTCCAGCCTCGTCCATTCTACGAACTTCTCGTAAGTGAGTTCTTTCTCCACCTAGAGGGAGACAGTTGAAGACTTTAAGACCCAGGGTGCTGCTGCCCAGCAGGGCCCTGTGCTATGCTGTGGATGCCAGACACCAGTGGCAGCGTGGCTATGGTCAGCAGCGCTCCAGTGTTAAACGGCTGACCGCAAAGTAGGGACAGCAGCCACAGCAGACACCCCCGAGTGGCTCCTTGCTAGCACGCCTCGCTCACAGCTTAGCTGTTACCGTTCTCAAGTCAGTGGTCTCGTCCGGAAGCATGATGATCATATTCAGTTCCTTGCCAACATATGGAAGCACCAAGATTTGGGTAAATATTTCTCCTATATAGGTCTTCTTAAAAGTAGATTGCTTAAACATCATTTGCACAGGTTTCTCCTCATTCTACAAAGAAAACAGATAAACATCAAGTTGAAACAAGACCCCACTGACACATGGGACAAATGTGTCGGAGCTGGCCACTCTCTGCAGGGAGAAACGCAGCTCGGTTTCTCCCCAGCTTCCAGAACACCCGGCAGCGCCTGCTCTGCCATCTTCATTACCTCAACCTCCAGAAACTGGGGTGCCCAGGGCCCAAACCCAACGTGTCTTTCCTCTCATTGATCGCATTCAGTCTCATGGCTTTAAACACAATATCACACCAAATTTACCTCCCGCCTGGGCCTCTGCCCTGTCCTTGGGCCTCCTGCATTTTACTGCCCACCTGCACCTATGTTTGGACATAAAAGAAACTCCCAGCGCCACCTGTAATGCGGCACTCCGTAGATCCTCCAAGTCGGCTCTGTCTACTGCAACTCTGCCCATCTCAGCTGAGGGCAGTGCCACTGTCCAGTGGTCAAAAGCCCTGGAGTGCCCCTGACTCCTGTCTTTCTCTCACACCCTGTGTCTGACTCACTGGCAAATTATATTGGCTCTACCTCGAGAATATAACAAAATCTGACCTGTTCCTTCTGCCTCTGCTGCTACCAGCCTAGCCCTGGAATATTGTGATAATATGATTGTGATTGTTCCCAGCACAGTGGCCAGAGGGGCCCGGTAGAACCTAAGGCAGATCACATTGTTCTTTGGCTGGACACCCTTCCCTGGCTCCCCATTTACTCGGAGCAGGAGCTGAAAGTCCCTAAAAAGCCTGGAATTGTGATAAGAGCTCGTCCCCAGTTCCCTCTCCCTTTGCTTATCTGCTACAGTCACAGAGGCCTCCTCACTGCACTGCCAGCAAACCCAGTTCATCTCATCTCTACGCAGTAAGCTTGTCCTCCAGAACCTGGAGAGTGAACTTCTGCCTCTTTACGGTCTTTGTTCAAAAACCACCTTGGCAGAGAAGCTGTCCTTGATAGATCTTACCTGACCCTACACTCCCACCCCAAACACAGATTCCTATCCCCTCCCTTGGTATGTCTCTGTACCATTTACCACTGTCTAATATGCTCCTATTTTCTTATTTATGCTTGCTGTCTCTCCCCCAAGAAAACATAAGCTTCACCAGGGCAAGCATGCTTTGCTTGTTTTGTGCATGGCTGAAAAATACCTAGCACCATGCCTGATACATAGAAGACACTCAGTCAGGTTAGGCATGGTGGCTCATGCCTGTAATCCCACCATTTTGGGAGGCTGAGGCAGACGGATCACCTGAGGTCAGGAAATCGAGACCAGCCTGGCCAACATGGTGAAACCCCACCTCTACTAAAAATAGAAAAATTAGCTGGGCATGGTGGTGCGCTCCTGTAATCCCAGCTACTCGGGAGGCTGAGGTAGGAGAATCACTTGAACCCGGGAGGCAGAGGTTGCAGTGACCCAAGATTGCACCGCTGCACTCCAGCCTGGGAGACAGACCGAGACTCCATCTCAAAAAAAAAAAAAAAAAGGCACTCAGTCAATCTCTGCTGAATAAATGATAAATGCATAAACGAATTAATGAGCTGGGATGCTAAAAAGGCCAGGCAACATTTACACATCTCACCAGAAAAAACTGCACTGGTCACCAACCCCAGCCAGCCAATGAGAAAGACTGGAGGCCAGGAACCACACCCCATCCAACAATCCCCCTCAGTTCCTGACTCGGAGCTGCTCCTGTGAGTTGAGTAAATACCCTGCAATAGGCACAGTCAAAGACGCCGTATGGTCCCCAGTCTCTGGTGTAGCACATTCTTCTGTGTTAAATGGAATAAATAAAATACACTGCGGCGGCAGCTTTCTGCTTTCACGTGGTAGAGGCTCGCCTGGGCTGGCCCTTAGCCTTTGGCTAGAGCAGTCTCCTGGGCCTCGGCTGCCCCACTCATTTCCTTGGCCAGCAGTAGGCATGTTTCTTCCATAACTGACCAGACAGGAACTATTTTCCGGTTTGTGGCTACATGTACCATCTCCGTCACAACGACTCAGCTGTTGTTACAGGATGAAATAAGTAAGTAAATAAGCATGGGCCAGGCGTGGTGGCTCACGCCTGTAATCCCAGCACTGTGGGAGGCCCGGGCAGGTGGATCACCTGAGGTCAGGAGTTCGAGACCAACCTGACCAACATGGTGAAACCCCGTCTCTACTAAAAATGCAAAAATTAGCCGGGCATAGTGGCACACACCTGTAATCCCAGCTACTCAAGAGGCCACGGCAGGAGAATCACCTGAACCCGGGAGGCGGAGGCTGCAGTGTTCCGAGATGGCACCACTGCACTCCAGCCTGGGCAACAAGAGAGAAACTCTGTCTTGGAAAAAATAAAAAATAAAAAAAAAAAATAAGCATGGCTGTGTTTCAGTAAACCTTTAAAAAAAATTAGGTGGTGGGCTGGCTTTGCTGTAGGCTGAAGTTTGCTGACCCCTGCCTTCAGTAATTCCTCCCTGCACCCCTTCAGGGTCCAAAGCCTCCAATCTTGCAATATAAAAAGATCTAACCTTAGTGACTGAATGATTCACTAAATACACAATTATATAGACAAGTTCCAGTTTATATAGAAGGTAATGAAATTAAAATAAGAATCTGTATCAACTCAAAATCTGTGCCCTTGGAGGTACACCTCTGGCCTCAGGCTGGTACGCTCAATACTGCAGCCCCTTCCTTCACCCTTCTTCACTGCAGAACTCAGAAAGCATGACGGGATTCCACATCTCCCCAAACCCACAAGACCTATAGTTCTGGCCTACACCATATAGAAAGCAGCTTTCCCTTTCTGAAACGCAGAACCACTAAGGGGAAGGTTTAGGCTCCCCTCCCCTCCCTTGTTCCTCCCCCTCCCTGCCACCGGGACTGCTGAAGCCAGCTCAGCCATCTTGTGACCATGAGGAAGAAGGCGACGTGCTGAGAATGGTGGAGCCGCCTCCCTGGGATCATCGCCCCAGTGCCAGACCAGCCCAGGTCTCACCTGCCTCCAGACCTCCTAGCAGGGGAGATGAGCTCCTAGGAGATAAACCATGGTGAACCGGGGTTTCTGTTATCTGTAGTCAAAGCCCTTGTACATCTTGTTAATCATTAAATTTTAAAGAGAGAAATTATTTTGCCAGGGGAAAATAGCACAGTTCATTTCAGAATAAAGCTTCAAAGAAAATAATTCTTTCTGAATTGCGAGGAGAACAGACAATGAAAATAAATTTCTTGAAAAACTGAAGGCTCAAGTTCAAGTTAGCCTGGAAGATCTAACTATGGTCAATGATCAAGAATACACTGTAATTAATCTATTCTGTTTACTTTGTCTATGTTCAAAAATTTCTATAGTTAAAGAAAAACAAAACAAGAGACAATAAAGAAGATTCAGTGAGAGGAAGATAAAGGGCCATCAGCAAATGACATCTTCCACGCTGGAGGTGGTTAATCTCAGTGTCTATCTACATGTTTGGTTTGGTTGTTTTAAAACAAAAATCTGTACTTATCCTTACTATCAAGAGAGGACTGAATATCACTCATCGGTTCAGCATTTACTAAGCACCAGCTACGTGTCTGGCACTTGTCAGAGAGTCCTCCCTGCTCAGCCTCAATTCAGCAGGCTGAGTTGTTCCGCTCCTGCAGTGTGGCACGGAGGCCAGCAGGAGGCGCGGTAGCGGGGCTTCCCGGGACGCCGCCAGAAAGAAAGGAGTGGGTAGGTCCTGATGGGAATGAAGCTAGAGAAAAGGAGGAAATGTCCGCTAGAAGATGGCACGCCATATCTGGAGTCTGAGCTTTAAGACCTTGATCGAGCCTGAGGGCTGCAGCTTCAGACTTGCCCTGTAGGTGGCAGGGCGGATGCCAGGCGCCCAGGGACACGAGGCCACCCAATGGATGTCAAGCAGGAGGGGCAGGGACAGAAAGGCCCCACGGCTGCAGACGCGGGAGGCCCCGAGCCGGAGACGCTCGTGTGAACACAGGCGCTGCTCCTGTCACGGCCCCTTACTCGCCTTGCTGACTTTAAACAGTCTCTCCTCGGTGTTCTCCTTGTCAAACTGTTCATCCCAGTTTCCTCTGAAATAGACAGCATTCACCAGAACCAGCCTTGTCAATGGATCCACTGAGCCCGGAGAGAGCAACTCCGCAATTTTACCTGAGCGGAAGAATTCAAGACCGCATTAGATAGGGGCGGCTGCGGATCCCCGACACATCAGGAATCGGCTGGGGCCTTCTCCTTCAGCAGTCAAGTGCACGGATAGAGAGTTCCACTGTCCCCCAAATATAAAGGGATACGTGTCCTTAAAGCAAAACAACAAAATCTTCTGGTACGAAAAACATCATCAATTGAATAAAACACACAAAGTGAACAAATATGCGTTAATTATGCAGGATGAGTTCCTAACACATGAGATAAGAAGCAATCATGGGTGCCTATGACTTAAAGACAAGAACTTAAAGGATTATCAAAAAGGTGGGCAGTCAGAAGATGTTCTTTACAAGCTTAAAGAACAGTTAGGCCAGACACAGTGGCTCACACCTATAATTCCAGCAGTTTGGGAGGCTGAGGTGTGAGGATCACTTGAGGCCAGGAGTTTGAGACCAACCTGGACAACATAGTGAGGCCTTGTCTCTTAAAAAAAAAATTTATTAAAATTAGCTGGGCATGGTGGTGCTACCTGTAGTCCCAATTACTTGGGAGACTGAAGCAGGAGGACCGCTTGAGCACAAGAATTGATGCTGTAATCCCAGCACTTTGGGAGGCCAAGGCGGGTGGATCACGAGGTCAAGAGATTGAGATCATCCTGGCCAACATGGTGAAAACCTGTCTCTACTAAAAAATACAAAAATTAGCAGGGCATGGTGGCACGTGCCTGTGATCCCAACTACTTGGGAGGTTGAGATAGGAGAATCACTTGAACCTGGGAGGCAGAGGTTGCAATGAGCCAAGATTGCACCATTGCACTCCAGCCTGGGCAATAAGAGCAAAACTCCATCTCAAAGAAAAAAAAAGAAAATTGAGGCTGCAGTGAATTGTGATTGTGTCACTGCATTCCAGCCTAGGTGACAGAGGGAGACCTTGTCTCAAAAAAAAAAAAAAAAAAAGTTTAAATTAAGAACCACAGATAGACCAGGGCGTGACCCAGTGTCCCACAGCAATGCATGGCAACTGTAGACTGTGCTACCCAAGAGGGAGGCAGCTTGAGATCCACACTGCGAATTTTTTATGTTACTTGTGAAAGGAAAAACTATATTAACATTAACACACTAACCCCCTCCTCAAAATTAAAACGTGGATTGATCCAGAAGAGGTATACCAAACACTGAAAGGCATCACGGGTACACCAAGGAAACAGGGAGAAATCAGAGAGAACAGAACACATTGAGCATTTCCAAAATGTCAAATAATGGCAACTGATTTCAGAAGCAGATTTTTTAAGTTTGCAGTTATTCAGAGAAAAAAAAATCATTCCTGTTTACAATTGACAGTCTTGTGAAGGAACTGACAATAAAATGGATTAAGAGGTTATTACAAAAGTAGAATAACAATACATTTTCACCTTCTGTCTTTTCAGCTACCCAGGTGTTTATGTGTTTTCTGGACTTCTCTACGGCGCTGATAAAGTCAAGCTCCTCCATCTCTGCTTGGTAGAATTTTTGGCAGGAATCTCTAAAAGACTAGGATAGACAGAGTGACATAACTGCCTGGCTACAAAAATGATGAACACCAACGGCCTACTTCTTCATTGCACCAAGTCAGAAAATCTATAATTTTATGATTGACATACATAATTTACAAATAAATATGAGGACTTAACCTAAACTACAACTTCCTAGCTTTAGCTATATTTAATCCTAGCTTAAAAACTAAGTCAAGGTCAGGTACTGTGGCTTACACTTGTAATCCCAGCACTTTGGGGGGCCGAGGCGGGTGGATCGTGTGAGCTCAGGAGTTCGAGACCAGCCTGGCCAACATGGCGAAAGCCCGTCTCTACTAAAAATACAAAAATTAGCCATGTATGGTGGCATGCACCTGTAATCCCAGCTACTTGGGAGGCTGAGGCAGGAGAATCACTTGAACCCAGAAGGCGGAGGTTGCAGTAAGCCGAGATCAGGCCACCACACTCCAGCCTGGGCGACAGAGCGAGATTCTGTCTCAAAAAAAAAAAAACAAAAAAAAAAAAGCAAAAAACACTAAGTTGAATCAGTCTCTGAATATCAAACGAACTTCACCAACTGCTGGATCCTTTAAGGGAGCAGCCATGCATCAAGGAGCTGCCTGACAAGATGCTGACAAGACACTTCAAAAGCGTGAAGTAGATCCACCTTATTGAAATGCAGAGAATTTAAAACATATTGGCAGGTGAAAAGAAATTACAAAAGCCTATGTATGGCATAATGGCATTTAGAGCCACACGCTTCCTGCTGGGCCCCAGCCCCCACTACCTGGCCACCTTTATTTCTTTAGTGAATAAGAGCAAGTATGACTTACTGAGAGGAAATCACAAGACTTTTCCCCAAAGAGCCTGTTGGCCATCCTAAGCAAGTACTGCGTGCCAGTCTTGTTCACTTCGGTGAGAAGAGACTGGAAGCCCTGGTGGATGTCTCCACCACCGCCACTTTTATTGAAAGAAAGTATCTGAAATCAAAAACAGAATGAAAACAAATCATTCCTGTATGCTCTGACTTCAGGAAATGGGGCAACCCCAAACTCAGCCTAACAACCATCCAGACCCTTATTACTGCTTAAAAGATCTATCCGAGGCTGGGCGCAGCAGCTCACGCCTATAATCCCAGCACTTTGGGAGGCCAAGGCGGGAGGATCACCTGAGGTCAGGAGTTCGAGATCAGCCTGGCCAACATGGCAAAACCCCATCTCTACTAAACACACAAAAATGAGCTGGGCCTGGTGGTGCGTACCTGTAACCCAGCTACTCGGGAAGCTGAGGAAAGAGAATCGCTTGAACCCGGGAGGCGGAGGTTGCAGTGAGCTGAGATCGTGCCACTGCACTCTAGCCTGGCGACAGAGTGAGACTCCGTCTCAAAAAAAAAAAAAGATCCATCTGATTAAAGGCCAGAAGGGTCTTGAAAGCCCCTCCCTGTACCCTGTCTGTGCTGGCATGAGCTGCAACGCCCTCCACAAACCCAGGCTCCTGATGCTCAGTACTTGGAGTCTGGTGGCAAACAAGGGTGCCAACCAGACCTCCTGTCTATACAAACACAGGCCGCCCCTGACATCAGAAGGGGCAGACTCCCTCCTGCCCGTGGCTCTGGAATGCCCGTGTCACTGGCTCTGACTAATGATACAGTAGGTAGAATTCAGTAGAAGTGATGCTGTTCCAGGCCTAGGCCCTTTTTAAAAGGCCTGACAGCTGCCATGTTCACTCTCTTGTACCCTGGCCACCATGACAGAAGGAAGTCCAGGCTATCCTGCCGAAGGCCACATGGAAAGCCCTGGAGAAGGTGCCATCACCTGTAGAGAGAGTTGCTTGAAGAACTGAGGCCTCTAGCCGGGCGTGGTGGCTCACACCTGCAATCCCAGCACTTTGGGAGGCCGAGGCGAGTGCATCACCTGAGGTCAGGAATTTGAGACCAGCCTGACCAACGTGGAGAAACCCCATCTCTACTAAAAATACAAAATTAGCCTGGCGTGGTGGTGCATGCCTGTAATCCCAGATACTCGGGAGGCTGAGGCAGGAGAATCACTTGAACCCGGGAGGCGGAGGTTGCAGTGAGCCGACATCGCGCCATTGTGCTCCAGCCTGGGCAACAAGAGCAAAACTCTGTCTCAAAAAAAAAAAAAAATCGAGGTTTCAGGTGTGAGAGAGGCCTTCTTGAACCTTCCGGGCCAGGTGTCCACTGAAACAGCTGCATGAGTGACCTGCACTGCTTCCTGGGAGCAGTCCTGCCTGCTCAGGCCACGGAATCTGAGAAATAATCAATCATTGTTATTTCCAGCCACTAAGTTTGGGATGGTTTGTTTTGTGGCAACAGCTGACACATGC
Source organism: Homo sapiens (assembly GCF_000001405.40). Taxonomy (NCBI): domain Eukaryota; kingdom Metazoa; phylum Chordata; class Mammalia; order Primates; family Hominidae; genus Homo; species Homo sapiens. The sequence goes on from NC_000006.12 coordinate 2,957,037, forward strand.
AGCCATCCAGAAGTGGAATTCTGCCATGACCAAAACCTAAAACATGTGGACTTGGCCTTGGACCCAGGCAGCTGGCAGAGGCTGGACGGACAGGACGAAATGACTCCTGGGGGCTGGAGAAAGGGGGCTGTGTGTGTACCAGCTGAAGAAGTGGAAAGAAGGTCACCCTCAGTGACAGGGAGGATGGAGTGCCTCCCCCGGGAACTCCTGCATCTGGCTAAGGGGTCCAGGAGGAAGCTGGCTTCTTTTTGCTGCCTAGGGTAACACATGGGAAGAGAAAGATGAAGGAACTGTTCCATTTTCAAGCAGAATTTAAAGGAACTATTTCCAATCCAGGATGTACTGGGTGGAGAATAAAAATGTTTCTTCTTCCCAGCCTTTCCAGCTGGCAAAAGATTCTAAAAGAGATGGCCTCAGGGCAAAGATCAAATCCCAGACACTGGCCTCAAGGGTGAGGTCCAAATCCACTTTGTTAAACCTTAGAAGATTCAGACAGCATCTTATAGACCATCTGGCAGGCTCTCCCATGGCACCCTGACTCCCAACCCAACAAAGAGCACTCAGGATGGCGGTGGGGGTGCTTTTGTCCAGGGAAGCAGAATTTTAAGTTGATAGAAATTCCACAGTGGTTTTCAGGCACTTGTAACAGCTTGGACTAAAAGAGAGAGACGGCTCAAAGTGCAGGGAGGCCTCTGGGTGCCCACGTTCTACAGGTGGGAGGTAGGCTGGGAGCGCAGCAAGCACGGGCCATTTCTTACAGAACAGGAAAGGAGCTGCCAAGAGCGACACCAGGACACAGAGGGCAGAGCACAGCCAGGGCAGCAACGGACAAGGGACAATTCTGGGAAGCTGCAGTGGAGGCTCATCAAGGAACACCCTGCACCCAGGGCTGAGAGGTGAACAATACATGCCTGGCTGGGCTTGGGAATTGCCACTGCTCCGTGACGGCCACGTGCCTCCCACGCCTACTGTGATGGGCTGCATGTGTCCCCTCAAATTTACACACTGAAGTCCCAACTCCAGTGTCTCAGGATGGAACTGCATTTGCAGAGAGGGCCTTTACAGGGGTGATTAAGGTAACATAAGGCCATTAGGTTGGGCTTTAATCCAATAGGACTCATGTCCTTATAAAAAGAGGAGATGAGGACACAGACACACACAGAGAGATGACCATGTGAGGACACAGGGAGAAAACAGTGTCTACAAGCCGAGGAGAAAGGCTGCAGGAGAAACCAACCCTGCCTACACCTGGATCTCAGGCTCCCAGGGAACCACCAGGTCCAGAGGGCAGACCACAGCAGTCACGGGTGGCCCCGACCAGCTACATCTGTGGTGTGCGCACCCTCTCTCAACCCCTCTCAGGCGCGGAGATGCCTCTGCCTTTGGCAGTGGGGCCTTGGCAAGCAGGACACAGGCGGGGACGTGATGGGTACTTGTTTCAAGCCTGTCTTCTGCGAGCACTTCCTCTCAGAACCCAGCCGCCAGGCCTACGGAAGCCCAGGCAACGCTGCTGAAGGAAGCATGTGGAAGGCCCCAGCGGAGAAGGCCACGGAGAAGACGCCCAGCGCCCCGCTGAGCCCCCGCTGACGCAGCCCACAAGGGACCCACCCAGTGCCAAGTGGTGCAGAAGCACCACTCAATCCACCCAGATTCAACAACCAGGAAAGCTGCTAAGCTGGGAGAGCTGGTTACACAACAACAAATAACCAGAACGCTACTGAAAACATGTTTAGCTGACAAATGCCATTCTAAGAAGGCTTTACGCGTAAATGAGAAAATAAAGACTCCTAACAACCAACAAGCAGATGACAGTACCCAAAGATCATCACAGGACTCAACCTGAACCTTGTGACTTTACAACCATCTACAAACTCACGAACAAGCTAAGCCATGTGATGATGAAATCATTCATTCCTCTGAATCGGGCGCCCCCTCTCCACCCCAGGGGGTCAGTCAGGGTGTTGTCCCCAGGGTGCTCCAGCATGGGTGGCATGCCCTTCCCTGTAAACTCGCCACCCACACCCTGCAATACTGCACAGTCATCCGTCTCGAGCGATCCCTTTGGGATTTGGAATAAGGAGGACCAGCTAACTTGACAGTTAATAGCACCATGGCTGCCCTGAAGCTGTACCTGGGCCATCTGTGCAGCGGTGTTTCCCTTTGCCCCCATGTAGACCATGGCCAGGGCACAGGACATGCTCATGGGTGAGAAAAACACATTCTTCGAGTTGTCTTTACCCAGCGTTTTCAAAAGGTTTAAGGCAAAGGTGCCATTTGCTTCTGCGAGAACATCCATGATGGCAGACCTGGAACAAGATTTAAAATCAGTATCACTTAAGCACAGCTTCCACGCGACTGCATCTCACGCGCCTTACCGACAGTCACCGCCGATGCTGTGGTTCAGTGGGCAAGCAGAAACACACACAGAACTCTGGCTGTTTCTTTTTAGGACCCTCCACATTATTTTGTGTGTTTCTAATGTTAAGTGTGGAAAATGAAAGAGTTCTATGTGAAACGCCGCCCTGTTTTGTGAGGACTCCTCCCTGCACGCCTGCCCGCACGTGGAGAAAGTGGGAAGGAGGCACCCTTTCCTGGAGTCTCTTCCTTGGGGTGGAATTACAGAAGGGGCACTGGCTTTTGCTTCTATGTTTGTATTCTTTGGTGTGTTTTGCGGGCTTAAATGTACTGTTTTAATTTGAAAAATATTCAAAATGATACATTCACTGACAGTTACACAAGAAAAGATGGCCAAATGTTTTTATAATGAGAGAGAGAATCCCATTTCTGGGTAGCAAGAGCCTTAAAAAAGGATCAATCAAGCCACATACAAAGATGCGTGAAAGCCTTTCAAATGCCTCCTGACCCTTGGATCTCCTTCTAGGAAATCCCTGCAGGTGGCAAAGCCCCAATTTTGGACCACGCTTGGGGACATCCTGCTGCAACAAGCCAGGCCTTCCTGCGCCTGAACTCACAGCACACTCAGGACACCACCTTGCCTCATGGGCTGTGGGTGCATGCCCATCTCCACCTTCACAGACAGGCTCAGGGGTAGGGTCAGGCTGCACATCTCTCTAGCCCTGCCGTGCAGTGGGTGTGGCAGCCCCAGCAGGGTCCAGAGCAGGAATGCAGCTGGATAGTCGGGAGGGGGGAGCTGGGGTATCTTCAGGCAAGTCGGAATCACAGAATCACATGTTAAAGTCCACCAAGCCCTTAGAGAGACCTACCATCAATGCCCCACTGCACTACAGGGAAGGTGAAGTTGACGGAAGTGAAGCTAAGAAGTAGCTGGGCTTGAAACGCAGGGCGGATGCGCTTTCTGAGCTGCTGCTCAAGAAGAAGAATCTGCAGAATCAGGTGAGAGGACAAGGGGCAGCTAAGGGCCCCACAGGCAGTCAGGCTGGGAAGGAGGGGATGCAGGAATGCAGGGATGCGGGGCCTGCCTGCTCTGACACAGTTCTCAGATGTTTACCAAATGAATATGTCCCAGTCAGAGAATGCCAGCATTCTAAGACAGTCCCAGTGACTCACTTGAGCAGTGAGTGGGAACCCACGGAACAAGGAAGGGGAGAAGCTGGAGCAGACATTTCCTGGAGCAGATGGGAGAGGGAAGGAGGTGCCTACTGGAGGCCCTGTGAGGAGATGCTGAATTAAGCGGCTCTCCACTGTGCATGCCTTTACATTTGGAGCTGGGGTTGGCTGAGCAAGTGCTCCAAAGATACCTGGGTCATAATCCCTGGGACCTGTGAATGCCCCTTACATGGCAAAAGGGACTGTGCAGCACGATTAGATTCAGGCTCTTGAGATGGGAGATTATCCTGGATTGTTCCAGTTGACCCTAAATGTAATCACAGGTATCCTTCTAAGAGGGAGGGAGGGGGAGATCTCACGGGAAAAAGCAATGCAAAGAATAAAGCAAAATGCCACTCCACTGGCCTTGAAGATGAAGGGCCTCAAGCCAAGAAACGCAAGGACCACAGCTGCAGTAGCTGGAAAGGCAAGGAGGATCCTCTGGAGGAGCCTGGCCCTGCGGAACCCATTTCCAACCTCCAACCTCAGAACTCTGAGAAAATAAACATGTGCAGTTTAGCCACGAATCCATGGTCATTTGTTACAGCAGCCACGGGAAACCAAGACAATAACTCATACACCTGATAAAGCTTGTTTGCTGTGCTTGTTTAAATATTTTGTTTTCAAACTCTTCTTTATTCATTACACAGAATACTTGGGGCACTGGGCACTCCTGGCTTGCCAAGCCTTTCCAAACATATTTTAAGATTACTAATTTCTAATAAAAGGACAATAGAAAGTACATATTACTAAAATTCTTCTGAATATAAGGGAGTCTTTGATGATACATAAATAAATCCAGGATTCCGCAGAGCCCTGGGAACACCAGTATAAACAAAAGTAGCCATTACACGGAACTGAAGCAAAATTGGGCCTATTTTTGGTTCTTTGGATTCTAGATCACAAGAACTGCCCGCTTATCAACTTGAAGAGAAACAATTGGTAAAACAGGGAAACTTCTAGGTTAAGAATAAGAAAAGAGGAGATGCCCCAAAGCAAGAAGCACAGCCTGTGAAGTCCGTGTCTCAGGACTCAAAGCCAGCAGACACCCTGACACGTGGGGTTTTCCCTGGCCTGGGGACATGGACTTCTGTCTTTGTCCCCAAGAGGGCTCAGCCCACGTGGAGAGGCTGCCAGGTGAGATGGCTCCTCCATAAACCAAAAAAAAAAGACAGAGGTTAAGTACCATGTCAGCTGGCCAGGGGAAGGTCCCACATGCTCCCCCAACCCCATCCTAGACTATTCTACCGTCAGCACACGTTTTCCCCTCAAATGCTGAAGGACTCTTACGCTTTTTTTTTTGTAGAGACAAGGTTCTTGCCACCTTGCCCAGGCTGCTCTCCAACGCCTGGCCTCAAGTGATCTTCCTGCCTCAGCCTCCCAAGGTGCTGAGATTACAGCCATGCACCACGCCCAGCCTAAAGGACTTTTAATTCAAATGGAAATGTCCACCTAAGAAAGGCTAATAATAAAACACTCCGTCTCCGGTAATATCCCGGAGAATCTGTTTCAGGCGCTGATCTTTATATCAGTAACTTCAACAAAGCAAAGCCACCTTTGTCTGAAGACACGCCCACTGGGGAGGTGCCTGTCTGGCCAGCCCAGGTTACACCATCTGGGGCAGAGGAGAAGTCGGTGCACATGAGTTTCACTGTGTCAGGGGATTTAATTTGAAATACTGAACTGGAGAAACCAAAGCAGGATATTCGGAGGAGAAGTCAGTGCACATGAGTTTTACTGTGTCAGGGGATTTAATCTGAAACACTGAACTGGAGAAACCAGACCAGGATATTCGGAGGAGATGGCACGAGTCAGGAGGAAGACAGGGTCTCTAGTCCTGGCTCTGGTACCCTGGGCAAATCACTGGACTCCTGATACCAGTTTCCTCTCTGTATGAGGAAAAGCATATACCAGATAATCTGGGTTCCCTTCCATCTCTAACATTCAATAATTGTTAATACCAAATGCAGAAGGAAGAGCAAAAATGTAGCTCAATTTTCAAAGCCCACAGTGAGGTCAGTAATGATATTCCATTTCTTAGTTGAAAACACTGCTGACAGCCGTGAAAGGTAAAATTCTATCTATGCCTTACATAAAAATTGCTGAGCAACAAAGAAACAATAAATCAAGGATGTCCTAGAGATTTAATTTTCTTAGCAGAAACTATGTTAGTCATTAAATAACTGAATATCCTACTCCTGATAAACACCCTTACGTCAAACAGCAAGTGGTACTTCCCATGCTTCCTTAACAAGGTAAGAATTACCTACTTCAGCAGCCACCAGCACAGCTGATGATAGAACATTAGTCCCTTAACTCCCCAAACAGGAACAAGATAAAAATATCTGTCGTCCCAACCTTGTGTAACTTTGTTCAGATAGTTCTGGCAAAGGCAAATACAACTCATGAAACATAATGAGAAAGGAGATTGTCAGAAAGGAGACAAAATGAGCACAGTTAGCAAACAATTTGATGGTCTACCCAAAAAGCAGCCAGAATCAGTAAAATACTCTTAAAACTGAAAAATAATGGAGTAACTGGGCTACTAAAAAAATAGGAAAAACAGACCCCAGTAGAAACACGTGCAAAGGACATTAACAAATTTACCCCCAAAAAAGAAAGACAATAGCTAATAATTATATTTAAAAGTTTCAACTTCAGAAAAAAATATCACTTTTTTGATATATACTATGTGCTAGGTCCACACTGAAAGACCCTTACCCTCTGAGATAGCTGCTGAGAACACCTACGTTTTATAAGCAAAGAAATCGGGCCTTAGCTCTTTAAGTACCATGTCTCCAGAGAACCCAGGGCAACAATGGCAGAATGACGGCTGGAAGCCAGGACCGCATGGCTCTGTAGTTCACTCTCTTAACACCATGGTGCACAGCCTTCCCAAAAAGCAATGGTGGAGAGTACATTAAAGATGCCTTTTCAAACCATGAACCTTGCAAATACAAAAACAATTCATGCTAATACTGACAAAGACAGGCAATCCTTCTCACGCCATGCAAGTAATACGGAGGCAGCAGGGACAGAGCTTGGCCCGTACCCACTCCCGTATTTTCCATACATCCCCCACGCCATCACACCTGCCCACCAGACCATGCAAACCAGGGAGGGAAACAAGATAAGCCATGTTCCACCCCAAATCTTACCCAAGGGAGTTAAGCCTGATGCCCACATGCATACAGGATCAGAACGACGATCCTGACCTCTTGCCTTGTTGTATTACTAAAACCCTCTCCTCAGGGGCTCATCTGCCATGCCCTGATCATGACACATCTGTGCTAACATGATGTTCCCCGGTGCCTGCCACTAGCGTGTGTAATGCTGCTGACACACCTCATGACTATCCATGTCACCCTAAAACACCAGGAACACCTGTCCCGAGGGCCAGCCCGGGAACTCCTGCCCCTGTGCCGCTGCCCTCCTGCTCCAGCATAAGCCCATTATAAAGCCTTGTCTGGGACACTTTCTCTGTCTCATGTCAATTTCCACTGCATGAGAATCTAAGAACCCACGATCAGTAACAATACTGTAAATTGGTACACCAGTATTTCCTGAGTATGATTTAGAATTATGTCAAAAATAAAAGTAAAATACAATAAAGTGAAGGAAGAAAAGAAAATGTCATGGAAACATTCATACTATCTGAATTAAAAATTCCACTTCTAGGAATTTCACTGAAGGTAAAACTCACAGGTTTTGTACATAATAAAACATTATGTACAACATTATGGGATATAAATAGGGCTAATAATAATAAAAATCACAGTAATGACATGGGAATACACAAGATTACATTAAAAAAGATATAAAACTATACATACAATTTAAATTTATCCATGTAAATTAGGAAAAAAGGTAAGTGTAGGCACAATTTACAGACAGAATAGAGGGAAATACTATACACCAAATGTTTCTAACGGTAATTTTTATGTTTTTTGTGTTTTTCTGGATTTTCACATTTTCTATAGCATATAATTTATGGAGGGGGTTGGTTAACTCTTCTTTTTATGAAATTACTATATATACATTCAGTTTAAAAATCAGGTGGTGTTAAAAGAGATGTTATAAAAGACAACAAGCTCCTTCTCAGCCCTCCCAACTCCCCAGAAGCAATCACTTCCAAACCCTTTGCTCTTTCTTCTGGTATTTACCACCATATTTCTACATAACGTGTATACTACTATTTTTGACCTAATAACTTTATCATGTTTTATTTTATGTATGTATTTATTTTTATTAGGGTAGGGGTCTCACGCTGTCGCCCAGGCTGGAATGCAGTTGCATGATCACGGCCCACTGCAGCCTCGAACTCCTGGCCTCAAGCAATCCTTTAGCGTCAGCCTCCTAAAGTGCTGGAACTACAGGCACCCGGCCAAATTCTAGACATTATCTATTGCCTTCCTAATCTAGAGGCCGAGGGCCCGGTCCCGATCCACAGGTTTGCTTTATTATCACTAAATAGCATTCGATGCTAAGCCAGGTGGTGGGATGGGAACCCATTTCCTTTTTATGTAATGCTGATTTGCCTTATATTAATAGTGCCTTTCCCCCCTTTCCTTAGTTTTCTATGTACTATGTATTTTCAAATTCTCCCCAAATGTTCTACAGGTCAGTCAAACCCTTTCAGTACTTTTTTCATATGCTTCGACACAAGGAATAATCTACCAGCTGCATTTTCCTCTCCCTCCGTCTGTCACCATGCTGCTGAGCATGCGCGACTTTCACGCCGAAGAGAAATGTTCATAGACGGGGACAAGTTTCCCTACTATAATACATGGCCAATTTATAGTTTGGCAGGCTGGTCAGACTAATTTTTTTTCTCAAACACAGCACATTGCTTACAGGGCAAAGAAATTATTTTTTCTTATTTAAGTGTTGATGACATATTTTAATATGTCTAATTTTTTAATGCTTTATGCAAACTTACAAATTGCACAAACCTTAGTAGACTTTTGAACTTCTACAAATCTGATAAATCAAGACATATAAATCTAGTAAGCTAGCCTCTCCTAAGACTTTCAAACAGTACAATGATTACAAAACTTATTTCTATACCTGTACTTATGTCTAGCAAAAGTTATTCATTAATATCACAGATTTAATTATTTTATCTTTGTTATATTTTCCTATTCCTTTCCTAAGGTAACACTAATGCTTATTTTAACAGTTTCCTATGGGGAAAATTAATCTTATGGGGTTAAATCCTAAGGGATCATCCCTTTCTGTAAAAACAGGGTGGGGCTCCCTGGTTCATGGTCTTTGTGCATCAAAGCAGTTTCTCAGCACAGGGCACACACTCTTTGATGCCAAGCATATCTGACTAGTTAGGGCAGCTTTGAGCTCCAATCCTGCCTTCACTGAGATTTTATAAGGCCTCAACCAAACACCAAATTTCAGTGTCTTGTAGCCTGATGTCCTTCCTTAAAATGAAATACGGAGTTTTCCTCTATCTGAGTTGCATAGACCAGTGTTGTATGGTATAACTTGGTCTTTTTGTTGAATGTTTAGGCCTTTAAGTTGGTTTTTACAACTACTGTGTTTGTTAGCCCAGGAAGCTATAATAACTAAACTTTTTCCATAGCAATCCTAGACACAGTGCAAACATTACTGAATTCTTTTGTGCCTTTTTAAGGCTCATCTTGTTTGCCTCATCTGAACTTATTAATGAGCTTGGGCTTTTTACAAACAATATATTTCAATTTGCTGATGTTTTTTTTTCTTCTTGTTCTAATTGGCTGGTGGGAATCTCTTTAAATTAGTTACTTTCCCTCCAAACACACTTACTTTATATGCAGGAGTCCCCAGCAGATCCGTCTGTGGTCTGTTAGGAACTGGGCCACGCAGCAGGAGGTGAGCAGCAGGTGAGCGAACATCACCGCCTGAGCTCCACCTCCTGTTAGGTCAGTGGCAGCGTTGGAGTCTTGTAGGAGAGTGAACCTACGGTGAACTGTGCACGTGGTGATCTTGGTTGCATGCTGCGTATGAGAATCGAATGCCTGATGATCTGAGGTGGAACAGTTTTATCTTGAAACCATACCCCCAACTTTATCAGTGGAAAAACTGTCTTCCACAAAACCAGTCTGGTCCCTGGTGCCAAAAAGGTTGGGGACCATTGCTTTAAAGCAACAGCAAAGTCTTACCAAACCATTTTAGATTTTTCTAGTCCAAAGACTAGATATGATAGGTGCACACCACCACGCCCAGTTCATTTTTATTTTTTGTAGAGACAGGGTCTCGCTCGGTGGCCGAGGCTGGTCCCAAACTCCCGGCCTCAAGCTATCTTTCCACGTTGGCTTCCCAAAGTGCTGGGATTATAGGCATGAGCCACCAAGCCTAGCTTGGGAAAAAAATGTAAGGCACTTGCTGATTTCCTCCAGACTGGCTCTTTGTTCTCTTTTTCTGTCAAGTACAAAACTCTTAGACTGATATCATCTGGGACTTCTCACCTTTCTCCAGGCTGTGACACACACAGAAAATGATGTTTGTATGTCACTTTGGGGCCAGGCTACTCACCCCAAAGGTGACCAGTGCAGAGCTCCAGCCACCCAGACTCCTCGAGTTGGAGGGATCTGTTAACCTGCCCAGGGCACAACACCCACACACAAGTTAGAAAGTTCTGCTCTGGAAGACTGAAACTGGACCCCTTCCTTACATACACCATGTACAAAAATCAACTCAAGATGGATTAAAGGCTTAGATGTAAAAGCCAAAACTATAAAAAACCCTGGAAGACAATCTAGGCAATACCATTCTGGACATAGGAACAGGCAAAGATTTCATGACAAAGATGCCAAATGCAATCACAACAAAAGCAAAAATTGACAAATAGGATCTAATTAAACTTAAGCACTCCTGCACAGCAAAAGAAACTATCAACAGAGTAAACAGCCAACCTACGGAATGGGAGAAAATATTCACAAACTATGCATCTGACAAAGGTCAAATATCCAGCATCTATATGGAACTTAAACAAATTTACAAGAAGAAAACAAACAACTCCATTAAAAAGAAGGCAAAGGACATGAACAGACACTTTTCAAAAGAAGACATTCATGCAGCCAACAGCCATAAGAAAAAAGGCTCAGTATCACTGATCATTAGAGAAATGCAAATCAAAACCACAATGAGATACCATCTCACGCCAGTCAGAATGGCTATTATTAAAAAGTCAAAAATTAAGAGATACTGGCAAGGTTGTGGAGAAAAGGGAACACTTACACACTGCTGGTGGGTGTGTAAAACAGTTCAACCATTGGGGAAAGCAGTGTGGCGATTCCTCAGAGCTAAAAACAGAACTACCATTCAACCCAGCAATCCCATTACTGAGTATACAACCAGAGGAGAGAGGAATAGAAATCATTCTCCCATAAAGATACACGCACGCGAATGTTCACCGCAGCACTATTCACAATAGCAAAGACATGGAATCAACCTAAATGCCCATGCATGGCAGATGGGATAAAGAAATTGTGGTACATATACACCATGGAATACTATGCAACCATAAAAAAGAATGAGATCATGTGTTTTGCAGAAACATGGATGGGGCTGGAGGCCATTATCCTTAGCAAACACACGCAGGGAACAGAAAACCAAATACCGCATGTTCTCACTTATGAGTGGAAGCTAAATGATGAGAACGTGGACACAAAGAGGGGAGCAACAAACACTGGGTCCTATCAGAGGGTGGAGGGTGAAGGGTGGGAGGAGGGAGAGGAAAAAATAACTATTGGGTACTAGGCTTAGTACCTGGGGGATGAAATAACCTGCACAACAACCTGCGACATGAGTTTACCTATGTCACAAACCTGCGTATGTATCCTGAACCTAAATAGAGGTTTAAAAGGTTAAAAAAAAAAAGAAGAAATCATATAAATGAATGTTCTCTTCTGACCTTATTCCCTCATTTACACTTTTCATCATGATATTTGATTCCATTTTGCCTTCTATACTAATTCTTTGGATACCACAATTATAGTTTATTGAGTCTTCCGTTCCCTGCGCTGCCTATCTCTGGGGTCCTTTTGTTATGGTGGCTGGTGTTTGCTTTATTTTATTTAGGTCTCTCTTTTGTACCTAGACTTTCCAAACATTCCTAACAACCCTTGGATGTCAGTACATAGTTAAGAGGAAAACACAAACAATGCTGGAAGTTCTGTTTACATGGAGGAAGTTCTGTTTACATGGACAGGACATGTCAGCTGGGAGCTTCACTGCAGTGTGCTCAAGGGATCAGCAGCTTTTTTGTCCGGGAACCAGCAAATGGGAGAACTCTTCGGTGTGGCTATCGGTGGTGTTCTGGAAGGAGATGGGGTGGAAGCAGATGGGGGTCGGGGGGCTTCTACTGGATCTGTAATCCCCTCACGTCCCCACTGCCTCCCCCACAGTGCCTGCAGGACCCTGAGTTTGAGCATTTTCATTATCACTTCGCAATAATGCATAAACACTGAACAATTAATCATAAAAAAGATTGGAGAGATCCAAATCCTAAAAGGAAAGAAAAAATAAATCCACATTTAAAGTTTACCACTCAAGATACTCCAAATATCAACAAATTATAAACAATCTAGTGAGATTTTTCTATCGAGGGCTTTCTGTTATCCTTTCAGCAAACGTGTGAGTAACAAGGATGCCTGTTTCACAGTCACGTTGCAAACTCAAGACCTGTCAATGGCTTTTTAAGGACCTACTTCTTTAGCTTCAGTAAATAAGATAGCTAAGTGTCCTTCATATATATATGTGAATACACATGTATATATGTACATAGACAAATATTTATGCAAAATTAATTGTTTCAAAATTTAAAAACTATACCATTTAAAAATAAAAAATGATATTTAATCACAGACATAAAAACTGGATATTAAAGTCTTATTAATGAACAATTTTATGTATTTTTTAAACAAGCCTAACAAATCTATCCTGGCATCACTTTTTTTTTCCTGTAGCATCACCAGTAACTGAGCAATGTTCACAATTGATTTTATTCAACTAATCAAGTCTTAATTTTTTTTTAGGTGTCACTATTGAATTGTGCTTCTCAACTTCTATTAAGGATGCCTTTATTTCCTACTAAATTTAACCATTTAAAGACTGGTTTAATGGAAACTTGGACTTCCTGCTTTGTCCCTCTGTTTCCTTGTGCAGTGTGTATGTGTGTGTGTGTGTGTGTTGTGTGTGTATGTGTTTAATATATCTGAGCAGCCTAACATATAAATGGGAGTTAAACATTATTTTCAGGCTAGGCGCAGTGGCTCACATCTGTAATCCCAGCACTTTGGGAGGCCAAGGCGGGCAGATCACGAGGTCAGGAGTTTGAGACCAGCCTGGCCAGCATGGTGAAACCCCATTGCTACTAAAAATACAAAAATTAGCCAGGTATGGAGCCCGGGAGGTGGAGGTTGCAGTCAGCCGAAATCGCACCACTGCACTCCAGCCTGGCAAAAAAAAAAAAAAAAAAAATTTTCTTTCTTTGGATGCCTTGGCTTAATCCCAAGTGCAGTAAGCCTGGAAATGTAAGGTGTGTGGTCTTCCCTGGGACCGTACAACATCTGCTTGGGTGCCCTTATTATTACATATGTGGAAAAGAATGTTGGTTCTATTCATGCTAATTTCACTCTACTGTTACTGGTCCGTGTTAACTGTTTCATGCTGAATTGTAATAAAATGCATTGGAATTGGCCTTAACTTAAAATACTTAGTTTACATAGTCGAGTATGACCAAAGTACTTTTCTCTTTGGTGGCACATCACAATGGATGCAATTACTCAGATACGGTCCTGAAATGAGAACAAACGCCATCTATGCTGATAACAGCAGTCACTGGTGTTAATCCCAGCACACATAAAAGCCCCAGCAATACAAGGCCGGCCCAGGACCTTAACTAGAAGGTCACTGAACACATCAGATCTCATCGCATCAGGCCTGACCCCCACCAGAAAGGATGCAGGCAGCTGCAGGGCTGTCATTAGGCACGAGAGCATCCCAGAAAGCAAAAGTGCCCAAAAAATGGACTCAGATGCCCCCTCGCATCTGAGTATTCCTGACAGCATGTGAACATTAATTATTAATTTTCTGTACCTCAGTTTTCCGAAGCCAATCTTTAGGACAAAAAAAAAAAAAAAAAAAAGGAAGAAAATAACTTAAATGCCAATTTGTAGTTAAAGTTTCCTCTTTGCCTTGAAGACATCAAAGCCTGTAATAGTTTGCCTGTAGGGAGTTTAATTCAAACACAGAGCGGTAAGGAGATCCGGGCTGGTCCACACGATCGTCTCCACAGGTCTGGGCGACCTGAAAGTGCTGCGGATTGGCCAAGCCCAGCACGGCCAGTCCAGTGAACACACGCAGGGGGCCCGGATGGCACCGTTTGGCGCCGAACCCCTCGGCCTCTCTCCGCCTCCCGCCCGGCTCCTAACACCCGGCGCCCCAAGACTGAGCACGCGTCCTCCGGGTCGCGGAGCGGGCGAGGGGTCACCGAGGCCGCGGGGCCGACCGGGGTCACCTGTGGCCCGGGAGGCTCTGCGCCGCCCCCATCCCGCGCCGGCCGCCTCTTCCGTGGGCGCTGGGCCTGGGCGCCCGGGGTCCTCGGGTCCGCGGCGTCACCGGCCGGGCTCGCGGCCACGCACGACTCACCCGGCCGCGTCGCCGTTCTCTGCCGCTGCGAGGCTCCGGAAGGGAACCCAAGCCGGACGCTCGCCCGGGCCCCCGCCCCGCTGGGACTGCTGGGGTCACAGCCCCGCGCGGCCACGCCCCATTCTCGGGGCTCCAGCGTCCCCGCGCGCCGTCGACCCACGCGCGTTCCCGGCCCCGCGCGACCCCCACCCTGCCCCCCTCCCCGCTCGCGCCCCCGGCTTTCCCGACTTTGGAGCGACAAACCCAAGCCAGCGTGTCCGAGCGGCTCCCAAGCCAGACACGTACTCCAGAGCGGGGAGCGAGCGAGCAGAACGGCGGGCAGAGGCGCCGGAGCCGCCCCGGACCTCAAATACTCGCGGGGAGGCGGGCGGAGTCCCGGGTCTCGAGCTACCGTCGCCCGTCCGGAGCGCGAAGGGAGAGGCGGGGCGGGACGTGCGGGTCAACCCCACCCGCCAGCCGGAGGGGCCGCGAGTCCTGCCCGGAGGCCTTGACTTTGACCACAGTACAGGGCCCCACCAGCGTGTTTATGGTGCCTCTGTGGAGACTGAATGCTGGCCTGTTTCCAGAAAAGGGCCGGCTCCTGATACACGGCCATCCACTGGGGAGTGCAGAACACGCATTTAAAAATGAGCAGACTAGATACAGGTCACAAAGACTTTGCTGATGAAACAGCTTGCGGCAAAGAAGCCAGCCAGGGGCGGGCGCGGGGCTCACGCCAGTAATCCCAACACTGGGAGGCCGAGGCAGGCGGATCACTGGAGGTCAGGAGTTCCAGACCAGCCTGGCCAACATGGCAAAACCCCGTCTCTACTAAAAATACAAAAATTAGCCGAGTGTAATGGCGCGTGCCTGTAATCTCAGTTGCTGGGGAAGCTGAGGCAGGAGAATCACTTGAACCCGGGAGGCAGAGGCTGCAGTGAGCCGAGATGGCGCCACCGCACTCCAGTCTGGTCCGTCTCAAAAAAAAAAAAAAAAAAAAAAAAAAAAAAAGTAGACTAAATAGCTTTTGCAAAGCAAAAGGAATAGTCAAGCAGAGTAAACAGACAACCTACAGAGTGGGAGAAAATCTTCACAATCTATACATCCGACAAAGCAGTAATATCCAGAATCTACAAGAAACTCAAACAAATTAGCAAGAAAAAAAAATCCCATCAAAAAGTGGGCTGGCATGAATAGACAGTTCTCAAAAGAGGATATGCAAATGGCCAACAAACAAGAAAAAATGCTCAACATCACTAATGATTAGGGAAATGCAAATCAAAACCACAATGTGATACCACCTTACTCCCGCAAGAGTGGCCTTAATCAAAAAATCAAAAACTCAAAAAATAATAGATGTTGGCGTGGATTTGGTGAAGAGGGAACACCTCTACACTGCTGATGGATAGTACAACCACTGTGGAAAATAGTATGGCGATTCCTTAAATAACTAAAAATAGAACTACCATTTGATCCAGCAATCCCACTACTGGGTATCTACGCAGAGGAAAATAAGTCATTATACAAAAAAGATACTTGCACACGCATGTTAATAGCAGCACAATTCGTAATTGCAAAAACATGAAACCAACCCAAATGCCCATCAATCAAAGAGTGGATAAAGAAACTGTGGTATGCGTATACGGTGGAATGCTACTCAGCCATAAAAAGGAATGAATTAATGGCATTGGCAACCTGGATGGGATTGGAGACTGTTGTTCTAAGTGAAGTAACTCAGGAATGGAAAACCAAACATTGTATGTTCTCACTCATAAGTAGGACCTAAACTATGAGGATACAAAGGCATAAGAATGATACAATGGACTTTGGGGACTTGGGGGAAAAGGGTGGGAAGGGAGTGAGGGATAAAAGGCTACAAATTTGAGTTCAGTGTATACTGCTAAGGTGATAGATGCACCAGAATCTCACAAATCACCACTAAAGAACTTACTTGGCAGGGCGCAGTGGCTCATGCCCGTAATCTCAGCACTTTGGGAGGCCAAGGCAGGCAGATCATGAGGTCAGGAGTTCGAGACCAGCCTGGCCAGCATGGTGAAACCCCCGTCTCTACTAAAAATATAAAAAAATTAGGCATGGTGGCACACATCTGTAGTGCCAGCTACTGAGGAGGCTGAGGCAGGAGAATTGCTTGAATCTAGCAGGCGGAGGTTGGTTGCAGTGAGCTGAGATCATGCCACTGCACCCCAGCCTGGGCAACAGAGCAAGACCCCATCTCAGGAAAAAAAAAAAAAAGCTTGCCATGTAACCAAATACCACGTGTTCTCCAAAAAACTATGGAAATAAAAAAACTAAAATATATATTAAATTTAAAAATAAATGTATATAAATGAGCAGAGCCCACATCATTGAGCCGTGTGTTCAAGGACTTCCAGTTCTCTCCAGGCATAGGAATTAGACCCCAGGGTACTGACAGGTTAGCCAAGTAAGTATGAAAACTCCATCTGCCATCTCAGACAGAGCAGTCTTGGAAAACAGAAACATCTAGCATAAATGGAAGTAGGGAAGATACTAGCCAGGTGTTTTACATGAGTTCAATTTTGAGAACTCAAGCTGTTTTACTCCCTCTGTGCTTACCCTAAGGCAGAGTTTCTCAACTGCGACACTGTTGACCGCATGAACCCGATAACTTGTGGTTGTGGGGGCTGTCCTGCCATCACACATGTTTCACAGAATCTCTGGAGGAGATTCACCAAGTGGATGCCAGGAGCAAACCACACGCCCCTCCCTAGTTGTGGCTTAATTAGTCTTAAGTGATATAAATTGCGAATATTTCCCCCAGCTTGTCATCTGTTTTCTGACATTGCTTCTGGTGATTTTGGCATACACTCTTTTAATGTAGTCAACTTTAATGATTTTTCCTTTATTGTTTCTGAGTCGTAGTTAGAAAAACTTTCTCTATTCACAAGGAGCAATCTCTTTTTTTTTAAAAAAAAGAATAATCTCTAGATTATAGAGTTCACTAATGTTTTCTTCTAGTATTTGCACAGTTTTATTTTTTATATTTAGATTGCTGATCCCTTTAAAGTTTATTCTGGTGTATGGGAAATATAGATCCAATTTTAACTCGCTTTCAAGTGACTTTCAGTTTTTCCACCTCTGTTTATTGAAAAACCATTTTCACTAATGTCTTCACATGCCACCTATGTTATATATCAAATAGCTGCATATACTTGGGTCTGATTCTGAACTTTCTAAACTTTCTATTTGGTTCTGTTGGTCAGATTCTTTCAGTTATAGAGGTTTTCTCTTATGATTCAATATCTCGTACAGCGCATTCTCCTTACTGCTCTTCTGCTTCAGATTTTCCTGGCTCTCCTTGTTGCTTTTTCTCCCATACAAACTTTTTTTTTTTTTTTTGAGCTGGAGTCCCTCTCTGTCACCCAGGCTGGAGTGCAGTGGTGCGATCTTGGCTCACTGAAACCTCCATATCCTGAGTTCAAGCGATTCTCATGCCTCAGCCTCCCAAGTAGCTGGTATTACAGGCGCATGCCACCACACCCAGCTAATTTTTGTATTCTTAGTAGAGATGAGGGTTCACCATGTTGGCCAGGCTGGTCTCAAACTCCTGAACTCATGATCCACCCTCCTCAGCCTCCCAAAGTGCTGGGATTACAGGTGTCAGCCACCGCACCCGGCCTCACCCATACAAATTTAAGAGTCAACTTGTCTAGCTCTAAAGAAAAAAATCTTGTTGGCAGGGCATGGTGGCTTACACCTGTAGTCTCAGTACTTTGAGAGGCCAAGGCAGGCAGATCACTTGGTCAGGAGTTCAAGACCAGCCTGGCCAACATGGTGAAACCCCATCTCTACTAAGAATACAAAAATTAGCTGGACCTGGTGGCGTGTGCCTATAATCCCAGCTGCTTGGGAGGCTGAAGCAGGAGAATTGCTTGAACCTGGGAGGCAGAGGTTACAGTGAGCTGAGATGGTGCCATTATACTCCAGCCTGGATGATGGAGCGAGACCCTGTCTCAAAAAAATATATATATAATAATTAAAAAAATAAAATTAAACTGTAGTCAAACAGGCCAGATGCAGTGGCTCACGCCTATAATCCCAGGACTTTGGGAGGCAGAGGTGAGTGGATCACCAGAGCGAGACTCTGTCTCAAAAACATAAAATAAAATAAAAATAAAATAAATGAAAATAAAAATAAATCTTGTTGGTAATCTATTAGAAACATATTGAATTTACATATTACCCTGTTATAAACCAACATTTGTACTTTGATTTAGTTGTTCTAGCCAAGAACATGCTGGGTCTTTCTGTTCCTTCAAATAATTTTTTTCCTTTTTCCTTTAAAGTTTTGTTCATGTAAGATTTGCACATTTCTTGTTTAGTTTATTTCTAGTTATTTTATCTCTTTGTTGATATTGTATGTAAGCAAGTTTTTTCCATTATATTTTCCAACTAGCTTTTGTTTGTGGATGAGAAAATTGTTTTTATGTATTAACTTTATAACCTGCTGCCTTACTGAAATTTTTTACTATTTGTATTTTTTATTGATTCTTTTAAGTCATCTATAGCTATACTACATCACCTATAAATAGAAATAGTTGTACTTCTTTCTCCAATGTTCATCTCTCTAATCGTTTTCTCTTGTTTGATTGCATTGGCTGATACCTTCAGTGGAGCAAATTGCCTGACCACTTGTGGTGTTAGTATCTACAAAATGAAAGTGTGAGCCCATATAGCTTCACCAAAGGGCAAGTCATTCCTAACCTCAATGGCTTCTTCTCAAAATAGGTTTACTGGGCAGGGAGACCTAGGAAGGGGTTCTGTAGTCTGGCATTCTCTGCCATCCCACCTGGATTTAAATAAGATTGAAGAACTATTTCCAAATTACGTAGGTTAATAATTCTGAGCTCAGCATCCTCCTAGAGAGACATATCTGGCATAAAGTTGTTTCATAAATGTTTATCACATTTTCATTATATCGTATTCTAACAGGCTTATAATGAGAAGCAATCAAAACCAAAAGTAACCAGGTTTCTAATAATAAGTGAGATGAGTGCACAGTTGGAGAACTACTCTGATGAGTGGTTCTGATGCTCATGGGACAAAGGCCTGGGTTTTCGTTGTCTATAATCAAACGTGAAAAAGCAGTTTGATGTGGCACCACTGGAAATGCGTACAGGCCATTTCTTCCCCTCTTCAGCCATTTTCAGATGGGAAAGCAGAGGGGATTCTGGCATTCTCCAAAAAAGACCCCTGGAAAACCCGTCTCCAGAGCCTCCTGCCTGAAGGTAACATTCAGGCTCTTCTATATTTTTTCTCTTTCCCGTTTTTCTCATTTAATAAGGAATTGGTCAATCATGCAATATACGCGTGGGGCTAACCTCCCGAGGGAGAGCCTCACCCTCTCTCCGGACCCAGAGTGAGGAAGGAAAGATGAGCAGGGGTGAATCAATGGACTTCTGAGTCACACTTTAGTTTTCCTCAGAACTTTTCAGGGACTGGGCCTTCACTCAAGAAATTTCCCAGGCAGCTGTCTTGAAAACTGAGTTCAGGGTGCCTCTAAGCTATCTCAGTGCCAGGTGGTGGCTGGAGGAGAGGTGAATGCCACTGTTAGAAGACACTAGAGAGCTGAAGGCAGGCATCTCATTGTCCGTTTGTAGAGGATCACAGTCACAATTGTTATTCCATGGAACTCGGTGACTCATTGGTGTTTAATGTTCAGAAAATTCATTTCAAACATAAGATGTCATAACAAAGACCTGACTTCAGGGAAAGCCTTTTTCTTTCCCACCTGCTTAATTGGTCCCTGCTGCTAACCATGACTGAAAACACATGGGTTTTACTTAGCAATAGCGTGACATTTTCTTTTCTCAGACTTCTCCGGATGGGGGCTAGTTCAGTTTTGGTTTGAAAGGACTTCAGTACTCCATGTAAAATAAAAGTAAAAAAAGCCTTTTTGGTGTGTAAACCAAAAAGTATCTGAGACAAGTATCAATCAATTTAGAAGTTTATTTTGCCAAGGTTAAGGTCGTGCCCGTGACACAGACTCGGGAGGTCCTGAGAACACGTGCCTAAGGTGGTTGGGGTACAGCTTGGTCTTATACATTTTAGGGAGACATAAGACATCAATCAATAGATACAAGATGTACATTGGTTCGGTTTGAAAAGGTGAAACAACTATAATCGGGCGGGGAGGCTCCAGGTCATAGGTAGATTCAAAGATGTTCTGATTTGCAATTGGTTTAAAAGAGTTTATCTGAAGACCTGGAATCAACTGAAGGAAGTGTCTGGGTTACGATAAGGGGTTGTGGAGACCAAGGTTCTTATTATGCAGATAAAGCCTCCAGGTAGAAGGTTTCAGAGAGGATAGATTGTAAATGTCTCTTATCAGACTTAAAATGTGCCAAACTCGTAGTTAATTCTCTCCTGGATCAGGAAAAAACCTGGAAAAGGGAAGGGGATTCTCTACAGAATGTAGATTTCCCCCACAAGAGACAGCTTTGCAGGACCATTTCAAAACATGCCAAAGAAATACATTTTGGGGTAAAATACTTCAATTTCTTTCAGGGCCTGCTCTTTGTCATGTGATGCTATTCTAGGACCAGGCTGGAATTTGGTGTCTGACTGCTACAAAAAAAAAAAAAAGCTGTTTCATTAGTATTAAGATCTCTATTTTAACATTAATGTTGGTCAGTTGTGTCTGAATTCCAAAGGGAGGAAGGCATGTCCTGCCCCCTCTTCCCATCATGGCCTGAACTTTGGAATGCCCTTGGCCCAGAGAAGGGGTCCATTCACATGCTTGCAGAGCTCAGAGTTTTATTCTTAGTTTACAGCTGTTTACAAGACAGTCTGAATTTACAATCAGGAAACTGGAAATAGAGATTTACCAGCTTCAGCATGTGTCCCTGAAGCTTAAAAAAATAAAAATAAAAAAGATTTACTAGGGATCTTCGTCATGGGTACTAAACACATCTCATTTACTTTTGAATTTGGAATTGTTACAAGTAAATATTTTGTATTGCTGCACTTTATTTTTTAAAACAATTCCCTTTCAAATGTTAGAAATCATAGATTGAGGAAAACACTTTCAAAAAGAATGTGCAACCACAACCAGCTCATGTAACACAAATCGGGTTTGGTGTAAGAACACAGCACTCTAACTCACCCATGACCAAACCAAAGAACAGCAACTAAGAGATCACTCTGAATGAGCGCACTCTGTTCTGCTGACATATCAGCTCTAACACAGAAAGGGAGAAAAGAAGTTCTCCTGAATAACTGTGACTATTTCACTGTGACACTTACATTATGTAATACCATCATTCTCCTTGTAAATTTCTCAGAATTTCATGGATTAACAGACTCATAAAACTTGAAGAGCATTTCTACCTCGATGTTAATGGTAAAGATGGATTTGAATTTATTTAGCAATATTTAAAAAAAAACTAGGTCACAGTAAATTGAACCAAGGAAGACTCAGTGTCTAAATGGTAAATAAATAATAAACTGGGGCCATGGATGAGTAAAAAACTTACCCTAACAGATAAACCATCCATGATTAGGTCAATTGCTTAGTTTACTCTATTTGGTTAATTGCATATTTATCATACAACTACAATGCAAACATTGAGATTGGTCCAGAGCTAGAACCCCTGCCCTCCAACAGAGGACATAAGTTCCTAGGCAACTACCTACACCAAATTTGTTTTCCTTATAGATAATGTAAACCAAAAATAAAATTCTAAGTACCCCAGCCAACTGAATGGACCTCTCCACCAAGGGCATTCCAAAGTTAGTGTGAAAAACTAGTTCAGGCCATGATGAAAAGTGAGGACAAACATGCCTCGTTCTCATTACACCCACGTGCCTTTGGAATTCAGGCACAATTCCTCATCTTAACGCAGACATTCTCTTCTATTGATTCCATCTGCATGATAGGAACCTTAGTCTCCGCAACCCCTTATCTTAACCCAGACACCCAGACATTCCCTTCTACTGATTCTAAATCTTTAGATAATAACTTAACCCTTTTCAACTAATTGCCAATTAGAACTTTTTTTTTTTTTTTTTTTTTTTTTTGGAGACAGGGTCTCACTCTCTTGCCCAGGCTGGAGTGCAGTGGCATGATCTTGGCTCGACTTCCCAGACTCAAGCAATCCTACCACCATAGCCTCCCAAGTAGCTGGGACTACAGTCACATGCCACCACGCCAGACTAATTTTTTTATTTTTTGTGGAGACAATGTCCCACTATGTTGCCAGGCTGGTCTTGAACTCCTGGGCTCAACTGATCCTCCTGCCTCTGCCTCCCAATGTGCTGGGATTATAGGTGTGAACCACTATGCCTGGCCAGAAAATTCTTGAATTCACCTATGACCTGGAAGCCCCCACTTCCGGTTGTCTGCCTTTCTGGACCGAAGCTGCATACATTTTACGTGTATTGATTGATGTCTTATGTTTCCCTAAATTGTATAAATCCAAGTTGTAGCCCAGCTACCTTGGGCGCATGTTCTCAGGATTTCCTAGGGTTGAGGATTTCCTGTGTCAGGAGTCATTGGTCACTCATATTTGGCTTAGAATAAATCTTTTCAAATATTTTACAGAGTTTACCTCTTTTCATCAACAATAGTAAACATTGCAATGTTTCCTAGGAACAACAGAAAAATTATCCAAATGATATATAGCAATGCCAATCAGCAATGTTTCTATACTTTTGTCAGAGGCATTTGAACCAGACCTACTCCATCTTGAATATGGGTAGGTCAATTAAGGCTATCCTTTAATAAATATCATGGATCATCAAATATGAGAGCTACGGGACTGCATTCCCAGGAGGTTAGGCATTCTTAGTCACAGGATGAGATAAAAGGTCAGCACAAGATACAGGTCACAAAGACTTTGCTGATAAAACAGCTTGAGGTAAAGAAGCCAGCCAGAACCCACCAAAACCAAGATGATGACCAAAGTGACCTCTGGTCCTCCTCACTGCTCATTATACAGTAATTATAATGCATTAGCATGCTAGAAGACATTCCTGCCAGCACCAGAACAGCTTACAAATGCCATGGCAATGTTAGGGAGTTACCTTATATGCTCTGAAAAGGGGAGGAACCCTCAGTTCTGGGAGTTGTCCACCTCTTTCCCGGAAAACTCATGAATAATGCACTCCTTGTTTAGCATATAATCAAGTGATAACTATAAGTACACTCAGTTGAGTAGCTCTTGCCTCTGCTCTGCCTACAGAGTAGCCACTCTTTTGTTTCTTTACTTCTCTGATAAACTTGCTTTCACTTAACTCTATAGGCTTGCCCCAAATTCTTTCTTGTGAGAGTTCCAAGAACCCTCTCTTGGGGTCTGGATTGGGACCCCTTTCTGGTAACACTTTCTAGCTCTCATATCTGATGGCCTATTTAAAAAAAAAAAATAGTAGCAGCCACTCCCAGTGACTCGCTTGGTAAACCTGATTGGGTCATGGATCACTTCTAAAGGACACCTAGCAGGCAGGCAGCAGAGAACCTGTTACGAGGCCATGAATACAGACAAAATGCATGTAACCTTTCCTGCCAGTGTAAGGAAGTCAAGGAGGAGAGTTTAAAATAAGATGCTGTTCAAAGTGGTGCAAGACACAAGGAACAGAGATCGGATGAGACCACAGGCAATAGGCAAATAAAAGATGCACTCTCTTCCTCTGAGAGGTGGTGACCCACTTTCCTAAGAGAAAAGTGTTTTGAAGACTGACTTCCCAATTTTTTCTGCCCCGGGAAAGCTTCTGGAACAACACTTTAGGGGCTACTGACAGGCTGCTCTGCTTCTCACCAGCCATGAGCATCCAACCCCAAAGCAGTCCCCAGGCTTCTCTGTGTCTCCTCTACAAGGACGGGCTGGGGAAGACCCTAAGCTCCACTCCCTGCACCATCCCTAGCTTATGAGAGCAGCCACCATGCTCCCTGCTCCTGCATTTATTGCAAAGAGCCTAGCTTCCTTCCAGAATTTTCTGGGACTAGAGCAAACAACCTGCCTTATTTTCTGAAATATCATAGTGGAGGGTTGAGAGACACTGGAACTTACTTTTCTGGGTGGTCTCTCCCCAGCTTTCCTTCCAGATTTGCAGGGACTAAGTGCTAGAGCCTTTCTCCTCTTACATATGAGAGTAGACCTCGAATTGAGGTAAAGCCATGGTCCTTCAATCTAGGCCTAATATTGGCTTTGCTCCCTGCTCCCTGGAATTTTGAGGCAAGTCCAGCATGGACTTGCCTCTCCCACTCATACAACTCAAGTAGTTCATTGAGGTGGGTGAAAGACCCAGAAATGTAACCAGGCCACACTCTCCTACACCTGGAATTTGTAAACCCTCCCCACGGCAAATGCATATACTTGAAGTCCCTCCCTCACTAAGTAACGGAGCTGGAAAACCCTATGAGACAAACTAGTGACTAGTTCCCCATAACTTCGTGCACTAATCTTTGTTGCACAAGCATTGTATCAGATCACAGAGAGTTGAGAAATAGAATTGCAGGAAGCATGGTCCTTCCTTTTTCAGGCGCTCAGATGGCTGGGAAAGGCACTGTGCCCACAGAATGGCATGTGCCTGCTCTAACAGGGCATGCACGCACCCATGAGAACAGAAGCCAGGAAGAACGGCTCTGTGAGCCTCAGGATGTGTTCCCTGGGGCCTCAGCTGAGCTCAGTCTCGTAGGAAGAGTAATTTTCCAGAGCTGAGAAAGAACAAACAAGTGACAAAGATTCCTAGCTTGGCCAAACATTAGTCAGGTTTCTTTCTTTTCTTTCTTTCTTTCTTTCTTTCTTTTTCTTTCTTCTTTCTTTCTTTCTTTTTCTTTCTTTCTTTCTTTCTTTCTTTCTTTCTTTCTTTCTTTCTTTCTTTCTTTCTTTTTCTTTCTCTCTCTCTCTGTCTCTCTCTTTCTTTCCTTCTGAGATGGAGTCTCACTCTGTCACTCAGGCTGGAGTACAAGGTTGTGATCTTGGCTCACTGCAATCTCTGCCTCCCAGGTTCAAGCAATTCTCCTGCCTCAGCTTCCCGAGTAGCTGGGATTACAGGCATGCACCACCATGCCTGGCTAATTTTTGTATTTTTGCTAGAAATGGGGTTTCACCATGTTGGCCAGACTGGTCTGGAACTCCTGACTTCAGATGATCCACCCACCTCGGCCTCCCAGAGTGCTGGTGTTGTGAGCCACTGCGCCTGGCCCATTAGTCAGGTTTGTGAAACTTCTATTAGGTCTACCTGTGCACTTCCATGTAAAATCTAGTTTTAGCAAAGAACTCCCCAGTTTCACTGTGCAATCACCCTTGATATCTGATCAGGCACCTCATCCTCCACCGCCTCCCAGGGGCTGTCTGATCACCCTGACCTGCCTTCCGCAAGAATTCTGTGAGGTCGGTTTAGCCAGAATCCCTCTGACCCCTGATGTCTCCTCTTAGTCATTTTCCATCCACTGACCCCACCCTGCTCCTTGGCTATAAATCCCCACTTCCTCAGGCTGTATTTCTGGTTGAGCCCAATCTCTCTCCTGCACTACAAGACTCTGTTACAGCAGTTTCTAACCCTATTGAGTTGGTCCTGAATAAAGACTTCTTTACTATGCTTTAATAAGTATCATGGATCATCAAATCATTTATTTATTTATTTATTACCACCGGCAACAGAAAGGTGCAGTGTGACAGCCCACAGGGGCAAAGGGTGAGTGTGCTTTAAGGGAGGAGAGAAGGGTGTGGGCTGGGGAGAGGCCCCCAGGGAGGTAGGGTAGGGCTGGATGGTGTGTCAGGGATGGGCTGGGAAAGAGTCCTTGTGCCATTCTAGGAAATTTGGGTTTTATCCCTCAGACATTGGGGAACCAGCACAGGATTTTAATGAGAGGAGAGGATTGCTTTCTCTTTTTTCCCTTTCTTGCCCCCTTTTTTCCATCCTTTCTTCTTTTCCTCCTCCCTCCCCCGCCCCAACCCCCGTCTCACTCTGTAGTCCAGGCTGGAGTGCAGTGGTGTGATTATAACTTGCGGCAGCCTCTACCTCCTGGGCTCAAGCAATCCTCCTGCCTTAGCCTCCAGAGCAGGGACTACTGGCATGTGCCACCACACCACACCTTCCTTCTTTTCTTCCTTCCCAACTCCAGCATCAGGCCTTAGGATGGGCAGGGTGCAGAAGACAGTGACAGCAGGGAGCTGTTTAGAAATTGGCCTCAGGAGCCCAGAACACAGGTAATTTGGGCCTTAGCCAGGCACTGGCAATGGTGATGTCTGTGAGGCAGAGAGCTAATTAGGGGGCAGAAATCATAGACTATACTGAACAAGTGGATTTTGAGAGAGAAGGGCAGAGTTACAGTTCCAGATGGTTTGTATTTATTCTAACTCAGAGAACTGGGTACATGAAAGAGTATATAGGGGGAGGAGGATCAGATTTAGGGGTCAGATAATCAGTTTGAGTCAAAAGGGGCTTAGAGTGCTGGTGAACATTTAGGTGAAGATGTCCAGAGGACAGGTAGAAATTACGACAAAGGTAAGAGCTATCGATGCTAAATGAAGCTGGGGGAGAAACTCCTTGATCCAGCAACAAACATTTTAAAAGACAGCTGGAAAAGGAGCACATGGCAAAGAGGACAGAGAAGGAGAAGACAGAAGAAACAGAGAACCAGGTCAGCATCCGCTGCTGGTGCTGAGAGGAAGAGGAGAGTCAGAATTGAAAAGGGCATTTCTCATTCCCAAGTCGTTAGTTACCAAGGGACGATAGATGGGAGGAGCAAAAACTGAGGCAGATCCAGGCCTGGAGACACATGGAGAGAGTTGTCTTAGAATACTCTTTCAAGAAACTTATCTGGGATGAATGAGAAGACGAACTGGAGCTGGAGGTGGGACTGTGTCTTTTGAGATAGGAGCCTTGGCTGTGACCCATACAATGTGTAAGGAGAGGCATCACACCTCTTCCACCCCTACAAGTTGATACTCTCATATTTAAAATCTGAGTTAAGGCCAGGTGCGGTGGCTCATGCCTGTAATCCCAGCATTTTTGGAGGCCGAGGCAGGCGGATCACTTGCAGTCAGGAGTTTGAGACCAGCCTGGTCAACATGATGAAACCCTGTCTCCACTAAAAATACAAAAAAAAGTTAGCCAGGCATGGTGGTGTGTGCCTGTAATCCCAGCTACTCAGGAGGCTGAGGCAGGAGAATTGTTTGAACCTGGGAGGTAGAGGTTGTAGTGAGCCAAGATCACACCACTGCACTCCAGCCCAGGTGACAGAGTGAGACTCCGTTTCAATAAATAATAATAATTAATTAATTAGCCAGGCGTGGTGGCAGGCACCTGTAATCCCAGCTAGTTGGGAGGCTGAGGCAGGAGAATCGCTTTAACCCGGGAAGCTGAGGTTGCAGTGAGCCAAGATTGCGCCATTGCATTCCAGCCTGGGTGTCACAGCGAGACTCCATCTCAAAAATAAATAAATTAATAAATTAAAATAAAATCTGAGTTAAATTTAAATAATTGTGTTGTTCTGGAGATTTTTTAAAAAATATCATCACTGGTCATAAGAATTTGAGGAATAGCTAAATAACAAAACAGAGGTTTCTCTCTCTGTCTCTCTTCCTTTTTCCATAACAAGAGAAGCTCATCTTCTTATCTGGTCTGGAATCACTTGGGTGACATTTCAAAATGCAAATTAAGAGCCAGGTGGGCAGGTCCCCAATGCGTTGGGATGGGCCGCAGCTGACTGGGCAGCCTCCCTTGAGCTCCCAGGACTTTGCCGAAGGGAGTGGCGTCCATTTGCATGAGGAGCTCAGGAAAACTGCTCCTCAGGTGCCGAGTTAGAGACACCTAGTGAGCTTCACCAGAGTAGTTTTGACCAGGGATACAACAAAGCTCCTAAAACTGAAAAAGCACGAAAACAAAAATGGTTGTGAACAGGGCTCAGCGATGACGAGGCTACATTCAGCCAGTGTGTGTCTGGTGCCATGGTAGACACACCCCTGGGATCCTGCCGCCCTGGCACAGGGGGTGCTCTGGGAGACAGAGGCTGGAATTGGACTGCATTGCAGCCAGGTGGCCTTGGAGACCCAGAAGGGTGCCTCCTTGGGCAAACTTAATGTTCCCCCTAAAGAGATCCCTTTGAAGATCCGCATGGCTTTCACACAAAGGGCGTGGGGTTTAGTTCCAAAACGTAGGCTTGGGTATTATAGAATAAAAGCAAAAGAGGGCACAAGATGTGCATTTTCATTATGTTTACTTAGTGAAGGGTGGGCAGACATTTTCATTATTTTTGGGTTTTTTGTTTGTTTGTTTTTGAGACAGAGTCTTGCTCTGTAGCCCAGGCTGGAGTGCAGTGGCAAGATCTTAGCTCACTGCAACCTCCGCCTCCTGGGTTCAAGTGATTCTCCTGTGTCAGCCTCCTGAGTAGCTGCGATTACAGGCACCCATCACCACGCCTGGCTAATTTTTGTATTTTTAATAGAGACGGGGTCTCACCATGTTGGCCAGGCTGGTATCAAACTCCTGATCTCAGGTGATCCACCTGCCTCAGCCTCCCAAAGTGCTGGGATTACAGGCATGAGCCACCGCGCCCGGCCCATTTTCATTATTTTTAAACAAAGGCGAGCAATTCACTTTCTGGGTGCCCACCTGAAGTAGAGAATCCCAACCCCTTACCATGAAAACAGATAATCTGTTCACTGAGCCCCAAGGACAAAGCAGCCAGGGTCGACTGAGGGGCTACTGCAGCCTTCCTCTCTGACTCCTCCCACCTAACCATTCCCTCAATACCTCAATACACACACTCCTTTCTTTCCCAAGTCTATTGCCTCTTCCAAAAGCAATGTAAGATCCGCCCCAGAACAGTGGGGAGTTCTTATCCTTTCCGTTACCTAAGCAACCTGAGGGCAAAGACCTTTAGATCACCGGCAGTGCTGTTCTTTGGGTAACTTGATCTTTGCTTATCAGCTTTAATAACTTTATTATACGAAATACCCAGCCTTGATGAAGTATCGATGACTCACTAACTGTGGTGTAACTAATTGTTTCATTCATTCTACAAACTTTTTTTTTTTTTTTTGAGACAGAGTCTCACTCTGTTGCACAGGCTGGAGTGCAGTGGCGCGATCTCAGCTTACTGCAACTTCCACCTCCTAGGTTTGAGCGATTCTCCTGCCTCAGCCTCCTGAGTAGCTGGGATTACAGGCGCGTGCCACCACACCCGGCTATTTTTTGTATTTTTAGTAGAGACGAGGTTTCACCATGTTGGTCAGGCTGGTCTCAAACTCCTGACCTCGTGATCTGCCCACCTTGGCCTCACAAAGTGCTGGGATTACCGGCATGAGCCACCGCGCCTGGCCTCATTCTACAAACTTTTATTCTGCACTCACTATAGGCTGGGAGCTACACTAGGGCCTGGGGACATGAAGACAGGCGACACGGTCCCTGGGCTCAAGATGCCAGACAGATGTGCAAACAAGTGAAATCTGATGTGATATGTGCTTTAGTGGTGCCAAGGATAAAAGGATAAGTGTTAAGAAAAAGTAGCAACAATATGTCTGACTGGGAGAATCAAGAAAGGTGTCATAGAGTCCCTAACACTTGAGCTGAGAATGAGAAAGAGCATGAGCTGGCCAGGTGACACACAGAGCATATTCCAACCTAGGAGACTGGGAAATGGGCCAAAATATATACGTTTGAGGAAACAAATAGCTTACTATATAATTAAATATGAGGCAGTTTAGACTGGGCCCTTATGGATAAGTCACACCCATAAATTTTATTTCATCTTACAGGCAGTGGAGAGCCTCTGGAGGATTCTGAGCTTCGTGGTCTCATCATCAGAGTTATGTATGGCAACCATCCCAACCTTTTTGGCACCAGGGAGGGGTTTTGTGGAAAACTATTTTTCCTTGGACAGCAGAGGATGGTTTCGGGATGATTCAAGCACATGACACTTCTTGTGCACTTTATTTTCAGTGGGAGCCCTGAGCTTGTTTTCCTGCAACTATCTGGCCCCATGTGGGGGTGATGAAGACAACGGCAGATTATCAGGCATTAGATTCTCATAAGGAGCGCACATCCTAGATCCCTTATGTGTGCAGTTCACAGTAGGGTTTGTGCTCCTATAAGAATCTAATGCTGCCTGATCTGATAGGAGGCAGAGCTCTGGTGGTAATGCAAGCAATGGGGAGCAGCTGCACATACAGATAAAGCTTCACTAGCTCACCCACTGGTGGCTCACCTCTTGCTGTGTGTCCTGGTTCCTAACAGGCTACAGACCAGTCAGGTCTGTGGCCCGGGGGTTGGGAACTCCTGGTGTATGGAAGAGACTACTCTGCAGCAATGTGGACAAATAGGATGAGGGTGAGCTGTCAGGGGAGACAGGCACACATGGCAGAGCTATTTAAAAAGGAGGATAGATGACCAGGCACAGTGGCTCATGCCAGTAATCCCAGCACTTTGGGAGGCAGAGGCAGGCGGATCACGAGGTCAGCAGTTCAAGACCAGCCTGGCCAACATGGCAAAACCTCATCTCTGCTAAAAATACAAAAATTAGCTGGGCGTGGTGACATGCGCCTGTAATCCCAGCTACTCAGGAGGCTGAGGCAGGAGAATCACTTGAACCCGGGAGGCAAAGATTGCAGTGAGCCGAGATCGTGCCATTGCACTCTAGCCTGGGCAACACAGCAAGACTCTGACTGGAAAAAAAAAAAAAAAAAAAGGAGGATAGACAGGGCTTGGGGATTGGTGGATGGGTAGATAAGGAAGGAGGAGTCTAGCATGACTCTCAGACTACTGACTTGGACCAGCAGGGGAATGGCTGTGACAATAAATAAGATTGGGAAAACAAGAAGGTGAGCAAATTTAGAGGAGAAAATGAATTTCATTTTTGGCATGGTGTGGAAGGCTCGGGAGAGAGGTCTAGGCACCAGATGTCAACGTGAGGTGAAATGGATATAGCTGAAGTCAAGGGTGTGGTGAGGTTTTGCAGGGAGAGCAGGGACCTCCAGCAAGGCCAGTGCATAAGGGAGAATAGAGAAAAAAAGAACCAGAAAAAGACAAGGAGAGGCCAGAGAGGTGTGGAAAGAACCAGGGAAGACAGTTATTCACAACAAACAAAAGAGGGCAGAGTTTTAGAGAAGGAACTGAGCAGTTTGGGGCTCCAGGTGGGGCAGGAGTGGGTGGCCACGGTTGAGGGGCAGTGGCCTTCAAATTGGTCTGGGTAGGTTCTAATGGGTCAGATTGGTCAGTCCTTTCCAGGACACTGAAGGCTGCAGAGGTGTGACTGGATGCTGGTGGAGGGATGCATGGCGGGGAAGCTGAGTCAGATCCTGAAATCCTCCAAGCATGCGCCTGAAATGACCAAGGGAAATGAAGGCGGAGGCTGCTGTCGCCTGGTGGCCTGGGAAGGGCCAAGAGCCAGGGAGCTGGAGGGAGGAGAGAACGTGCGACCTCAGCACGGAGCACTGTAGGGGAGGCGGGGCTGGAGGGAGATGGCGCCGCGCTCCCGGATGAACAGAGAAAGCGACAGGGTGAGTCGCAGGGCACAGTGTGGGATGAGTCACCGACAGCAAGGCATGGACTCCGGGAAGAAGGGGAGACGAGCCGGGAAAGACTTGCATCGGGGATGTGAGCTGAGCTGCACCCAGACAAAAGCGGCTCGGGGCTCCTGAAAGCAGCAGGCACCGCCGGTCCTGCCAAGGGGCTACTTCCTGCGCGGAGTAGGAGAGTAGGAGACCCCAGGCCAGTCCCAATCCCCGGCCCGTCCGGGATGAGGGGGGCTGCGGGAGCTGCGGGGGCCTCCTCCAGGGAGGACGGTTGCAGGGTCCCTCGGCCGCCGCCCACTCCCGGGGGCGTTCCTTCCTCCCAGCTGCGCCCGGAGCGCCTGCTGCCTGGCGAGAGCCCGCCCCTCTGCAACCAGCCCGCTGCAGCGGAGGGCGCCTGGGTGCCCTCGGCCGAGCCAGCAGCCCACGGTCGGCGCCGCACTGTCCCCTGGTGGCGGAGCGCTCCCGCGACCCGGCTCGCCACGCCTGGGAGGGGTCCAGGAGGACGCGGCTGGGACCTGGGGGCTCTCAGGGTGGGGCCTTGGGGGATGAGGCTGGGGCCCGCGGGAAACCGGGCTGGGGCGAGGAGGCTCGCAGGACTTCCTGCCACAGAATGTTTCGATGCTTTTTTTAATTCTGCAAATGTAAGCCTTTCCACTTTAAGTCCAAGCTCAGCGCAGAGGACTGTTCTATAATACATACAATTTAGTTTAAAAATGTTGCAAATGTTAACATGTGTCACAAACTCAAGCAATCCAGTATTATAGAAAGCAAAGAATGAAATGTGCTGCTTCTTTCTCCCCCAGACGCCCTTGCATACATTAAGATATGTATATATGGAAATGTTACCGGGAGTCCCGGTTATCCCAAAAAGGGTTGTTTCCTGTTGCGTGGTGAGGCCAATGCACGAAACCGAAAGGGAGTGTGTCAAGCAGTGCAGGCTGTATTCAATGGCTATGGAATTGGAAGATCTGAAATCAACTTAGCTTGTGAGAGCTGGGAAGTTTCAGAGGTAGGGTGTCTTTAATGAAGGGGCTGGGCATTAAGAGCACGGGGGGGAATATTCGTGCTTTCCTTGGGAAAGAACGGAGATTTTTCCCGGAATCAAGAAACCCCTTTTTTTCTGTCCCTTCTTGGTCTCTTCCAGTCGTTGTCATGGCGACATGTTGTTTAGCATGAGAACAGGATGATGATAAAGCCAGAGGCTCTTCAGAGGCGCCATCTTGGATTTCGCCAGCTTCAGCTGGTTTCGTCCTAAGAAGGAACTTCGAAACACAGGCATTCTTTTTCCTGAAAATAAGCAGAGTTACAGCTGAGTAGGAATTTAGCTCTGTCCCATATGCTATCGCATTGGGCAGCAAAAGCAGGGTGGGGTCCAGCGAAATCAGCAGGCACTGCAATGAGTAACATACCCAGCCACGTTTATGCAGCATTTTTACGAAAATGAAACCATACTACCTGTAAAGGAAGATATGCTAACAAACAACAAAACTGGCAGGAACCAAGATTCCTACTGACACTACCCTTAGTTTTAATTTTCCCTGACAACAAATGAGGTTAACAGAGCATAATTATCTACCGTGACCCCTTCAAAAAGACAGGCTGTATACATTTGCACTAAGAGAAGAAATCGTGTAATGTCAGCAAATTTCCCCCACTTAAAGCTTCTCTATTTAAAAAGCTTCACGCACACATGCACGCATATGTCTTCAAGATGACCACAATTTATTTTGCAGTCATTCTTTGCACCAGTTCCCAATTTTTCCCACTAGCTTGCAAGCTCCGTGACTCGAGGAGACCGGGGGATCAGAGTTTGTTTTTGCGGAGAAGTGAGTCCTTTATGCCCCAAATAGTGACTGACATAGAGAAGGTACTCAGTAAACACTTTTTAAAGGAATGCCTGCCTGACTGAAGCTTAATGATGTGAGGCTTCTAGTGGGATACCCTACCTTGTTTTAACCTGAAGTGACTCTTCCTTAGCTAAGAGAGCCAGACGGACTCCATCGTGACTCCTTCACTCGCAGCCCCTTACCCACCCCCTTCCTCAAGGACTTAACTTGTGCAAGCTGACTCCCAGCACATCAAGAATGCAATTAACTGATAAGATACTGTGGCAAGCTATATCCGCAGTTCCCAGGAATTCGCCCGGTTAATAGCACCCAGAGCCCCTGCGTTTGTGTCCGGTTGATAACGCCCAAAGCCCGGCGTCCATCACCTTAGGATAGACTTAAAGCCTCTGCACCTGGAACTGTTTACTTTCCTGTAACCGTTTATCCTTTTAACTTTTTGCCTACTTTACTTCTGTAAGATTGTTTCAACTAGACTCCCCCTCTCCCCTGTCTAAACCAAAGTATAAAAGAAAATCTAGCTCCTTCTTCGGGGCCAAGAGAATTTCGAGCGCTAGCTGTCTCTCGGCTGCCGGCTAATAAAGGACTCCTGAATTCGTCTCAGAGTGTGGCGTTTCTCTGTAACTCGCTCGGTTACAACACTAGGTTAATCTTTTTCCTTTAACTGTTTGTTTAAAATATATTATGTTTAAGACCTTCTAACTGGTCAGCCTCCAAGATAGTATTGTGCTGGGCTTGCTTTATTCTGGTTTGGTTTCCATGATCCCAGTTCATGTGTTACCTGCTTCTCTTTTGAATTCACAATGATACACAACTTTTAATTTGTTAGAACACAAACATAAGGAATTTTTTTTTCCATTTTAATGTGAGATATGACAGAGGCAAATTGTTTCTTAAAGACATAAAATAATTAAAATAATTACATAAATTGTAATAAAATAATTATTACAATGTTCTATCTTTGGCATTAAGGCATAGAACAATTTTTTAATCCTAAACTAGGCTGGGCATGGTGGCTCACTCCTGTAATCCCAGCACTTTGGGAGGCTGAGGCTGGTGGATCACTTGAGGCCAGGAGTTGGAGACCAGCCTGGCCAACATGATGAAACCCTGTCTCTACTAAAAATACAATAAAAAATTTAGCCGGGTGTGATGGCGCTCACCTGTAGTCCCAGCTACTCAGGAAGCTGAGGCACCAGAATCGCTTGAACCCGGGACGCGGAGGTTGCAGTGAGCTGAGATATAGCGCCGCTGCTCTCCAGCCTGGGCAACAGAATGAGACCCTGTCTCAAAGTAAATTAAATAAATAAAATCCTAAACTGTAGGACCAAGATTTGATTCAGAAAAGAGACTTTCTTGTACTAATTTATACACTGTTCATGTCAGATCCAATCTTTCTTTTTATTAGATGAATCTGGAAAAGCAACTTAGAATAATTCAATCAGTCTAAAAGAATAACAGCTGATGAGATGCAGTCAATAAGCAGTTTTGTATTAGTATTTTTATAAGAAATTAGAAAAACATGATTTTGGGGGAGATCTTCTCATAGTTAACAGCACATATAACATATAAGTTAGAAATGTACTCTGCTAGCTCATAAGATTTTAAAGCAGGGATTTTAGTGTCATTAAACTTTTATTTATAATAGTTTTTTTAATACAATTTTTTTTTTTACTTTGGAATAACTTTAGATTCACAGGAAAGTCAGATAATACAGGTAGTTACCATATTCCCCTAACACAGTTTCCCCTAATGGTAACATATCACCATGGTAGTGTTGTGAATTCTTATGTTGGGTTGCCTCCACATCCATTTTGAATATACATTGGACTTTCCCACACCAAAATCAAGGCTCAGTCACCCCGGACAAAGTTGCTGGTTCTCCACCTTCTCCCAGTTCTGTTATGTGGTGGATCCAGATATCTGCCTCATACAACTATCTCCTGTTGACCACTTCTCTATGGCACAGCTAGAACCTATTGGCCACACTGACCCTCACACCCCACCTAGAATGTGCAGATGCGCCACAGGGCCCACCACTCAGTCACTGTGCCACCTCCTGGAACTCATGCCTGCTTGCTGTAAACCCACCGAATAAAACTCCCCATGGGAAACCTGTTTGGATAACACCCTGGACCCAATAAAGGTGTTGGCCCATGGGTTGCTGTCTTGGTCTCTCTGCCTGCACTCCCTGATTTCCATGAAGGTGGCCTCCAAGTATGCCATGTGCCCCAGGATCTGTAAGTAATAAACTATTTCTAGCCTGTGTCTCTCCTAATCGTTGTAGGGGTGCTCCGCATCTTGAAGATCTTAAAGTAAAACAGATACATTTGTGGAAACTAAGGTCCCAACGTTGTACATTACTATTAACTCCAGGCTTCATTTGGGTTTCAGTTTTTTCATTAATATCAGCCTAAGTTTTTAAAAAATAGTCAGCCGAAAAGAAGGATTTAATTTTATGTGGTAATTTCTGCACAAACATAATATTCTTGAGAAACATCTTGTCTATCAATAACATGTTTAACTATATATTATATCAATATGCTCAAGAAATCAGGCCTTGGTAAAGATTTTTCTTTTTTTTTTTTTTTTTTGGGACGGAGTCTCGCTCTGTCGTCCAGGCTGGAGTGCAGTGGCACGATCTCTGCTCACTGCAAGCTCCGCCTCCCGGGTTCAGGCCATTCTCCTGCCTCAGCCTCCCGAATAGCTGGGACTACAGGCACCTGCAACCACGCCCGGCTAATTTTTTGTATTTTTAGT
Organism: Homo sapiens; assembly: GCF_000001405.40. NCBI lineage: Eukaryota > Metazoa > Chordata > Mammalia > Primates > Hominidae > Homo > Homo sapiens. The sequence goes on from NC_000006.12 coordinate 2,993,329, forward strand.
AGAGACAGGGTTTCACCATGTTAGCCAAGATGGTCTCGATCTCCTGACCTCGTGATCCGCCCGCCTTGGCCTCCCAAAGTGCTGGGATTATAGGTGTGAGCCACCGTGCCCGGCCCCAAGATTTGTCTTTACTAAGTAATGCATGTGAAATATAATAACTGACAATGATAATACAGTGACCAGGTAACTCAAAAATTATAAGTCATTCAATTGAATAACATAGTGTTTTTGAAATGTAAAAAGATAAATATAAATAATAAGTCATATTAAGACAAAATTTATTTAACTGATAAAAGTAAAATTTGTTATTCTCTCTAGCTGTATAGATAAGACAGGATCTCTATAGTGCATTATTTCAAGACTTACTTAGTAGGAAAACCAGTAGGTTTGATTTTTTTTTAAATGCCACTTTGGTTTTAAAGCACTCGCTTTGTCCACTAGTTTTCTAGATCTGAGTATTGGCTATTAATGACATATTTCTAAATTATACACATCAATAATGTGACAATAGCTTCAGGTCAGGAACTACTGTGTGATTTAGATGTTTGTTCCTTCCAAACCTCATGTTGAAATTTGTTTCATCTTTTTTCTTGTTTTCATAGATAAGGGCCTCGCTCTGTTACCCAGGCTGGAGTGCTGTGGTGTGTTTGTGACTCACCGTAGCCTTGAACTCCTGGGCTCAAGCAATCCTCCCACCTAAGCCTCTGGAGTAGCTGGGACTACAGGTGAGCACCGCCAAGCCTGACCTCAAGTTGAAATGTGATCACCAATGTTGGAGTGGGGCTTAATGGGTGGTGTTTAGGTTGCAGGGCCAGATCCTTATGAATAGATGAATGCCCTCCCTCAGGGGTGAGTGAGTTCTTCCAGAGCTGGTGGTTAGAAACAATCCTTGACCTCCCTCCTTTCTCTCTTGCTTACTCTCTTGCCATGTAATCTCTGCACACTCCAGTTCTCCTTCACCTTCCTCCATGAGTAGAGGCAGCCTGAGGCCCTCACCAGATGCAGATGCCCAACCTTGAACTTTCCAACCATTCAGAGTCATTAGCCAAATAAACCTTTTATCTTTATAAATTACTCAGCCTCAGGTATTCCTTTATAGCAACACAAAACAGACTAAGACAGGAACCTACACTCCTTAGAAGAAGGCCATATGATATAAGGGTGTTGAGTCTAAGATTTTAGTGTCTACACTTCGTCTTACATTTTCCATTCTTTCCATTTTCACAAGTCCTATGATACAGTTGAAAATCTTTCCTACGCACTAGTAAAGCCATAGGAACTTAAAATTATTAAGTGTCAAGCACATATGAAAATCAGACAATGTGCAAAGAAAAACGGGCTATGTGTTGCATGAGAACGAGGAACTAATGTTCAGTTTAGGGATATGAACTGTTCAGAAACTTGGTCTGATCAAAGTTATGTCAGCCTTAATAGTAATCTGACTGATAAACAACTAATACTTGAAAGACGGTACTGATATGGACTATTTCACCTGGAGATTGTTTACTTGATAACTTTTTTTTCAAGTTCTGCAAGGTGATTTAACATCCAAAAATATATAGTCAATCCTGGGTATTCATGGAGGACTGGGACCAGGACCCCTCAAATATATCAAAATCCACAGATGCTCAAATCCCTGATATAAAATGGCATAGTATTGACACATAACCTTTGCACAGCCTCCCATATACTGTAAATAATCTCTAGATTACATATAGTACCTAATACAATGTAAATGCTATATAAATAGTTGTTACACTGTATTTTTATTTGTATTTTTTTATTGTTGTATTGCTTTTTCTTTCAAATATATTCCATTGGAGGTTGGTTGAATCAGCAGATATGGAACACACAAATACAGGAGGACAACTATATCTAAATCTAGATTAATGTAAGCGGTGAGAAAATATTTTATCTCCGTCTAAGTAGGTCCTACCAGAGGGGAAACTAGACTCACTCAAAGATTGCTTTGATCAATCCACACACAGTTCAGTGATGGACAGAGTGTCAGTATCTGTTATATGTGTCACTATCCCATGCTAGAGGTGTCAATAGATTATGTAACCTTTCTGAGGAATCACAATACAATAATTGATAATAATATTGATCACATAAACATAGACTTCCTTGACACAGGATTGCCACAGACCTTCAATTTGTAAAAAAAAAAAAAATGCAACATCTGTGGAAGTACTATAAAGAGAAGCAGAATAAGGCAGATATGCCTGTATAAGACTAAGGGAGAATCTTAAAAGCTGCAAGAGATGTACAAGGGATCCTCAATAAATCCATACATCTGTGGCCAGTGAATTTTTGACAAGAGTGCCAAGTCCATTCAATGATGAAATAATAGTTTCTTTAATATATGCTGTGAGAGAAATGGATTTCCACATGCAAGACTAAAGTTGGGCTCCACTTCACACCATATGTGAAAAATAATTCACAACCTAAATATAAGAACTAAAGCCATATAGAGGAAAACGTAAGAGTAAATCTTCATGATCTTGTGTTTTGGGTTCTTAGATAAGACACTAAAAGCCCAGGAAGAAACAACAAAAAATAGGTAAATTGGAGTTCATAAAAAATGTGAAACTTTTATATCAAAGGACATTTTCAAGAAAGTGAAAGACAACCTACAGAATGGGAGAAAATATTTGTAAATCCTATGTCTGATAACATCCAGAATATGTAAAGAACACCTACAACTCGGCCGGGTGCGGTGGCTCACGCCTGTAATCCCAGCACTTTGGGAGGCCGACGTGGGCGGATCACCTAAGGTCGGGAGTTTGAGACCAGGCTGACCAACATGGAGAAACCCTGTCTCTACTAAAAATATAAAATTAGCCAGGCGTGGTGGCGTATTCCCGTAATCCCAGCTACTCGGGAGGCTGAGGCATAAGAATCACTTGAACCCAGGAGGCGGAGGTTGCGGTGAGCCGAGATCTCGCCATTGCACTCCAGCCTGGGCAACAAGAGCAAAACTCCGTCTCAAAAAACAAACAAAAAACCTACAACTCAACAACAAATAGACAAACAACCCAATTAAATGGTCAACAAAGGACTTGAATAGACATTTCTCCAAGGAAGGTATACAAATGGCCAGTAAGCACATGAAAAGATGCTCAAAGTCATTAGTCCTTAGGGAAATGCAAATCAAAACCACAATGAGATACCACTTCGCACTTGCTAGGATGGCTATAATTTAGAGGGAAAAAAAAGAAACATAACAAATGTGCGTGAGAATGTAGAGAAGTTGGAACCTGTGTACATTGTTGGTGAAAATGTGAAATGGTGTAGACGCTGTGGAAAACAGTTTGGCTGTTCCTCAGAAAGCTAAACATAGAATGACCATAGAATTGTAATACCGACAATTCCACTCCAAGGTGTATAACCAAAATTATTGAACACAGGGACTGAAACAGATACTTGTACACCAATAATCATTGCAATATTATTCACAATAGTCAAACAACAGATGAGTGGATAAACAATGCCTGGTACCCTTCCTTCCTTCCTTCCTTCCTTCCTTCCTTCCTTCCTTCCTTCCTTCCTTCCTTCCTTCCTTTCTTTTTCTTTCTCTCTTTCTTCTTTCTTTTCTTTCTGTCAGTCTTGCTCTTGTTGCCCAGGCTTGAGTGCAATGACACAATCTCAGCTCACCGCCACCTCTGCCTCCTGGGTTCAAGTGATTCTCCTGCCTCAGCCTCCCGAGTAGCTGGGACTACAGGTGCACACCACCATGCCCAGCTAATTTTTGTGTTTTTAGTAGAGATGGGGTTTCCCCACGTTGGCCAGGCGGTATACACATTTTTCTATTATTCGGCCATAAAAAGGAATGAAGTTCTGATGCATACTACAACATGGATGAAACTCAGCAACAAGGTTTTTGAGGAAAAAAAGCTTAGTGAAAAGGCCACATCTTGTAGGATTCCACTTATATGAAATACATGCAATAGACAAATTCATGGAGACAGAAAGTAGATTAGAGGCTACCAGGAGTGGAAGGAGGGGAGAATGGGGATTTATTATCCAATGAGTGCAGTGTTTCTATTTGTTTTTGTTTTTGTTTGAGACAGGGTCTCGCTCTGTCATCCAGGCTGGAGTGCAGTGCCACGATCTCAGCTCACTGCAGCCTCCGCCTCCTGGGTTCAAGCAATTCTCCTGCCTCAGCCTCTGAGTAGCTGGGATTACAGGTGTACACCACCTGGCAAATTTTTGTAGAGATGGGGTTTCGCCATGTTGGCCAGGCTGGTCTCAAACTTTTGACCTCAGGTGATCTGCATGCCTCTGCCTCCCAAAGTGCTGGGATTACAGGCGTGATCTATGGCCCCTGACCCAAGTGTTTCTATTTGGGATGATGAAAACGTTTTGAAAATAAATAGTTGTAATGGTTGCACAGCACTCTAAAGGTAATTTATGCCACTGAATTGTACACTTAAAATGGTGAAAATAGAAAATTTCATGTTATACAGATTTTGCTACCCAAAAAACAAAACAAAAAATCCAAAACCTTTATGTTATTATGAAGAAGCAGTTTTCCAAAGGAATAGGGATGCTGGTAGCAGAAGGGAAAGAAATCTCATTAAATAAAAACAAAAGCAATGACCTCTTCAGGAGGTGGCTCAGCTAGTTTAGCTTTACCTTAGCACCATGATGGTTCATTTTATTCAGAAATAGAAACATGGGGCGTTGGGGAGAAGAGGAGATGTGTACCTGCCTCACCTGCCTCCCTGCCCAGAATGCCGACTCCGACTCTTGCTTTCCACTAAGGCTGGGGATTAAATGAAAAGTGAGAATCTGGAAACCCCCAGAGATGATGTTTGTCGTTGGAGCTGATTTTATCTCATTTTAGTAGCATGACCTCCTCCTCAAACTCAGGATGCAATTATGGTCAATCTCATTAGTGTGCAGTAATTGCTCAGCCCCAATACCAGATTAGCAGGAAGTTCTGTTATTTTCCTTTTGAGGATGGGCTCCTACTGAACTGTCCTGGAATCTACCACCATTCAGGTTACAAAAGACCCAGGGAACTAGGCCAGTCCAGCTCCCAACCCCAAGCAGGGAGCAACTTGCTCAGTCCACGTTGTGATAGCTCCTCGCTGCCACAAGGTGGTGATGTTGCATCACACACGCGCATGATGGGCGCGCAGGCGCCAATGCTCCCAGGACCTGCTGTTCCATTCCTAAATGAAAGTTGTTCCCAGGATCTGGACTCACAAGACAAGGCAGCCTATTCCCTGCTGGGGAGCTCAGGGGCAAGAGGGCATCTCGGAGGGAGGGCACATTCTCACCTCTGAAGACAAGGAGAACATCATCAGCACATAGACCAATCCCAGCAGTGCACCTTAGGATGGGGAGGGCCACTGTGAGTTACAGCAAAATGAACGAATGAATGAACCAATAAATGTCTGAGAGGGAAAGTCCCAACGACCCTCAGGAGGTACAATCAAGAGTTGCAGTTATTTTCGTTAGGAACGTTCTAAACACAGGGGAAACCTTCCTTCCTTCTGCTCTATTGTTGGAGTGGGGCCATCCCGGGACACCAGAAATCAAGGAATTGAGTTTGGAGAAGGGACTTGGGGAGGTCACAGTGGCAGGTGACTGCCAAATGAGGTGGCAGAAGCCAGCAAGCGCTGGAAAAAGTCGGCCCAAACTGTTCACCAGCACCGCCCCCCATAACTCCCCACCGGCTCTGGTTTCAAGACTTTCCGTTTTCTAGGTATTTCCTTGGCCTTAAACCATTTTCCTTTAAACGAACTTTTTCTGTGAAGCCATCCGGTTTCCCCCGATAGTGGCATCTCACAAAGGACAATCCAGTATCCCAACAGCGTGTTGCGTTCCGCGGGACGCAGATTTCCTTCACAGGCACCCCCCGGGTTGCGTTTTTATAGCCACACCCACCCGCCCCCCTATCTCCTGGGCACTGCTAATGAGTCCTGCATTTCTCTCCTTTGGTCTTTGGATAAATGAACCATCCGTGCGTGACCTTTGCGAGGGCATCTTGCATAATACCAGTACACCAGCGGCGCCGTCGGTGAGTGACCTTTGGGACTGGTTTCTCTCACCAGCGTAACTCCCCGGGAGATCCGAGCAAGCTGATGAGTGTATCAGTGGCTCATTCTTTCTGTTGCACCACGGACCCTCATTCTGTAACCGGGATACCAGCCAGAGATGGGGAGCGGGAGGCGCAGGGCAGGGGCGTCCCTCCTCTCAGCACAGCCTCCCCGCGCTGGATTTCTATCAATCCAGTTTCCACCTGCCTGGAAGTCAGCAGGGTCCTCCCCAGTCCCAGATCGCCGGGCGAGGCCCCAGATGGACCTCAGGGGCGGGGAGTGGGCGGAGCTTAGGGGCCGAGGCGAGGTGTGGGTGGGGCGGGACGCCGCTGTGGAGGCGGGGCCTGGGCGCGGACGGGCGCGGAGCGAGGCACCGCACCGCCGGGGCGGGGAGTGGGCGGGGCTCGGGGGCGGGGCGGGGTGTGGGCGGGGCTCACGGGCGGGGCGGGTGAGTGGGCGGGGCCTCGGCGTGGTAGGCGCGCTGCGTAAAGAGGCCTGCAGTCCCGCGGCGCGGGGCAGGTTCCGGGCTGCTTAGGTTGGCACCGGTCCGTGGTCCCCGGGGGCGCAGTCGCAGCGCTCCCGCCCTCCAGGCGTCAGCGAGTGCGCGGTCCAGTGCGGCCGGAACCTGGCGCAACTCCTAGAGCGGTCCTTGGGGAGACGCGGGTCCCAGTCCTGCGGCTCCTACTGGGGAGTGCGCTGGTCGGAAGGTGAGTGATCCCCTGTCGGGGACCGGGGGACTTGGGAAGGACAGTTCCCGGACTGGACGGCCAGAACGCTCTCAGGGATTTCAGCTGGCCGGCCATATGGCCCTGTGGGTCGTCGCGCCCGGGCCAGGGACCATTCTGTACATAGGATCGTGCTTGGCTCTCACGGAACGCGCCCACACGCAGGGTCCCGGTGTCGAATCGTCTGGTGGAATCTGCCCTCAACCCTATGGAGCGGGTGCTGGTATCATAGTCATATTACAAGTAGGAATCAGCGGGCCCAAGGTCAGTCTGTAAAGGGGGTACCGGGGTTTAGGCCCGTGCGCTGCCCAGCGCTGCCCTGAAGGCGCGGCTGAACCACTGGTTTGCGCTGCCTTTGTCAAGGACATTGTGGCACTGTGGAAAAAATGAAAAATCAGCTTCTCTAACCTATAATCTCTCTGGGAAAAAAAAAAATCAGCTTTTTTTTTTTTCCCCGAGACGGAGTCTCACTCTGTCGCCCAGGCTGGAGTGCAGTGGCACGATTTCGGCTCACTGCAACCTCCGCCTCCCGGGTTCAAGCAATTCTCCTGCCTCAGCCTCCCGAGTACCTGGGATTATAGGGGCGTGCCACCACGCCTGGCTAATTTTTTGTATGTTTAGTAGAGACGGGTTTCATGTTGGTCAGGCTGGTCTCAAACTCCTGACCTCGTGATCCGCCCGCCTGGGCCTCCCAAAGTGCTGGGATTGCAGGCGTGAGCCACTGCTCCCGGCCCTCTTTTTCTTTTTTCTTTTTTTTTTAGAAGAGTCTCACTCTGTTGCCCAGGCTGGAGTGCAGTGGGGCAATCTCAGCTCACTGCAACCTCTGCCTTCCAGGTTCAAGCGATTCTCCCCCCTCAGCCCCTTGAGTAGCTGGGATTACAGGCGCCTGCCACCATGCCCGGCTAATTTTTGTATTTTTAGTACAGGTGGGAGTTTCACCATATTGGCCAGGCTGGTCTTGAACTCATTCTTCTTCCTTTCTTTTTCTTTTTTTTTTTTTTTTGAGATGGAGTTTCACTCTTATTGCCCAAGCTGGAGTGCAATGGCACAATCTCAGCTCACTGCAACCTCTGCCTCCCGGGTTCAAGCTATTCTCCTGCCTCAGTCTCCCGAGTAGCTGGGATTACAGGTGCGTGCCACTACACCCAGCTAATTTTTGGTATTTTTAGTAGAAATGGAGTTTCACCATATTAGTCAGGCTGGTCTCAAACTCCTGACCTCAGGTGATCCGCCTGCCTCGGCCTCCCAGAGTGCTGGGATTAATGAACCACTGCGCCCGGCCAAAAATCAGCTTCTTTAACCTTTAATCTCTGAAAAAATAAATCAGTTTAACCTTTAATCTCCGAAGATCACAGCCAAAGAAATACATGAAAAGGAACAAGTATTAAATAATATATACTTCTAGCTGTGCTGTTTATAGTTTTGGGAAAAAAATGGAAATAACCTAAGGTCCCAGAAATAGGAAAATGGGCACAAAAGGGTATGCAGGCAATGGTTTAGCTGCCGCATGAATACACACTGAATACACTGTGAGATGTTGTCTGTTAGAATGCCCAGCACGGGGACTGTCCACATGGAAAGAGGCACAGGAAAAAAAGTGAAAACATTATAAAATAACTTCTTAAAATTAAATAATGTACACGTCAAAAATATCAGAGCCCACTTGACCTGGTATATACAGTTTAATAACCACATGGCTCTTTTTTCCTGTAGGCCTGGGTAGGTGCATAGTTTCTAAAAAGGGAGAGAACTGTCACTGCTGTGGATGGGGTGCCAAGGGAAGTGCCTGGGGTCAAGTGAACAGTGACACAACTGCAAGTCAAGAGCCTGTGTTGGAGTCTTTCCCCACTATTTCAAATAGTATAGAAAATAGAGCTGAGTCACTCAAATAGAGCTGAGTTAGTCACTCAGCTCTTGGACCTCAGATTCTTATTCTTAACCGCTAGGGGGATGGAGACAGAAGTCACAAACTCACATGCCACCAGCCATATGATGTAAACATGTAAACTGGGCCAAGGAATACAAAAGGGAGTGGTGAGCTGGGGACACTGAAGAATGGATGCCCTGTCTAGAGGAGTGAAAATGAAGCATTTCATACAAACAACATGATTTCGGGCAATCACTTTGGGAATCAGGATAAGGTGTTCCCCCAGTCTGCAGAAACACTGGCAACATTTACAAAGGTAAATCATTTCATATCACTCTATTTTCTTTTTCTTTTTTGAGACAGAGTCTTGCTCTGTTGCCCAGGCTGGAGTGCAATGGCACAATCTTGACTCACTGCAACCTCCACCTCCCAGGTTCAAGTGATTCTCCTGCCTCAGCCTCCCAAGTAGCTGGGACTACAGGCACATGCCACCATACCCGGATAATTTTTGTATTTTTTAGTAGAGATGGTGTTTTGCCACATTGACCAGGCTGGTTTCAAACTCCTGACCTCAGGTGATCCCCCCACCTCGGCCCCCCAAAATGCTGGGATTACAGGTGTGAGCCACCACAACTGGCGATCATTCCATATTACTCTCCAGCTTAAGAGGCTCCAAGGGCTTTCTGTCAGGCTTAGAATAAAATCCTCACCCCTACCCTAGGAGGGGTCAGGTCAGACCCCTCCCACCTCCCTGACTGCATCTACCACCATCCACTCTTTTTTTTTTTGAACCACAGTTCAGCCAAACAGGCTTTCTTTTTTTTCTTTTACTTTCTCTTTTTTCTTGAAACAGAGCCTAACTCTGTCACCCAGTCTGGAGTGGAGCAATCCTCTAATCTCAGCCCCCTGAGTAGCTGGGATTACAGGCATGCACCACCACACCTGGCTAATTTTTAAAAATCTTTGGTAGAGATGGGATCTCACTATGTTGCCCGGGCTGGTCTCAAATTCCTAGGCTCAAGTGATCTCCTGCCTCAGCCTCTCAAAGTGCTGGGCCTTCTGCTTCCCTGGGCTTTGCCAGGCCTCCCTATGCATTGTGATAGCCAAAGTTTGCTTTCTACAAAGTCACCTCCAGGCAGTGACTGTCCACCAGGGCACTGTAGAGCCTCCCAGCTAATGATGAAGTCACTCACTCTCCTCTCTTTTTCCTTTAAGATAATCCCTTTCCAGACCCGCCATTTTGGCTCACCCTGTAAGTTACAGCCCCACTTCTCACTGCCAAGTGTGGGTGTCACTGCTGGCTCAGGGAGCATGGATCCTGTAAACTTGCCTCATCGGGAGGCTTTGAGGAGTGACCCCCAGGAACTAGACAAGTAACTTGTTCTTCACAATCACTGCCCTCCCAAGAACATCCAGGATTTCAGCCTCAGTGCTAAGACAACCATGTCTCTCCCTGACACATGCTCGCTGCTGAGAATTCTAGGAAAAGCAGAGGGCTGTGCAGGCGCCCCTGCCCCTAGGCTAGGAGAGCTGGCAAATGCCTGGAGACCCAAAGGCCTCATCCTCAGGGCGGCCAACTCTTCTGTTTTAGTGATATACAGACTATCTTTTATTGTGATTTATAGTGCAACTTACCGGTTCAAACAATACTACCTGTATTCATAAACTTTCTTTTTCCTTTCCTTCCTCACTGCCCAGCTTTAGGTTCATTCTTGTAAGTGTTGCTGGTGTCAGAATAGGAACCTCCCTGCGCTTTGAAGGGATGAATGTGACCTCTCCCACATTCTCCGGTGCTGTGATGTACCTTAAACACAGCAAGGTACTTGGACACAAAGCCTGTGCCTGGAGCACTTTCAGACAGACAGTGCATGGCCCTCGCTACAGACTCAGTGCCATTGTAGATGTTTCTGCATGGAAAATACATAAACACAAATATCTGCAGTTGCCAATCCACCACCATCTTGCAGCCCCAAGAGAGCCCCGGGAATCCAGGTTCCTTTGGTATTTCTGCTCCCTGCCCTTGGTGCATAGCCTCCATCCCCAGGACGACAAGAAGGCTGACTGAGCCCTAACATCATCCCACAGTCCAGCTGGGAAGAGAGCCAGCGACAAAGCCAGAGGGAGCTAGCTCCCACACCTCCCAGCCCCAGCTGAGTTCGCTTCTTGAGGGTATTTCTTGGAAGCCCCGCCTGTGACTTCTGCTGACACCTCACTGGCCATCTCAACTGCAAGGCAGCCTAGGAAATGTAGTGCTTACCTGTACACGTGGATTCCTGGAATCAATTCAGGGTCTGTCCTTGGGGAACCAGAGTGGGGATATTCAGTCACTAAAGATGCAGGTTCCCAGCTGTCCAGTGAAGTCAAGCGAATGGGGAAGGATTTGAAGTCACCTTTGGGTGTTTGGAGTGATCAGAGCTGTCTGCCCTCTTGGGGAGTGACAGTGCCCCACTCTGTTAAGTCCCATGCCTGCCCCCAACTCAGCTTCAGCCACAATGATGTAGCCTCTTTTCCTTTCCATCCACAGGGCACCTGGCCTGGGTGGAGCCCACTCCTCAGCACCCACCTCACTTCTTGCAGTATTCTGCAGACCCCAGCCCTGTGCCTGTGCTCCTGGACAGCTGGAGATAAGGAGTGGGCCCTGGAAGATGCTCATTCAGGCCCTGCTCAAGATTCCAGTCCTGGTGGGGATAAGCACCACTTTTGTGTGTCTCTGTGCTTTTTGTTTTGCTGTAAAGACACACTGATAGGTTCACGTTGTCGTTTGGACACAACATGCGCGATGCGTGTCTTCACACTAAGCCCTAGTCACACTCTCTGCATTGTTTTTTTATCCCATTTTTTCCTACTGTGGTACAGAACATCTCACATAAAATTGACCATTTTAACCACTTTTTTTGTTTGTTTGTTTTTTGTGTTTTTGGACAGAGTCTCGCTCTGTCTCAGCCTCCCGAGTAGCTGGGATTACAGGTGCACACCACCACGCCCGGCTAATTTTTGTATTTTTAGTAGAGACGGAGTTTCGCCATGTTGGCCAGGCTGGTCTCGGACTCCTGACCTCAGGTAATCCACCTGCCTCAGCCTCCCAAAGTGCTGGGATTACAGGTGTGAGCCACGGTGCCTGACCTCATTTTAGCCACTTTTAAGGGTAGAATTTTCTGGCTGTTTTCATTCATGTACTGATAGACACTTGGGTTGCTTCCATGTTTTAGCTGTTGTGGAAAATGCTGCTTTGAACATGGGTGGGCAAGTGGTTTTCAAGACCCTGCTTTCAGTTTTTTGGGTTCAGAGTAACGAATGGAATTGCTGAGTCATATGTTAATTCTCATTTTTCTAATTGTAATTTTTGGGGGCACAGCACCTCTCCAGCAGCGGCAGCACTCGACCTTTCCCCAGCGGTGCACGGGGTTCCAACTTCTCCGCATCCTCACCTACGTGTGTTTTGTTTTTTGGTAGTAGTAGCCATTCTAATGCGTGTGATATGGGATCTCATTGTGGTTTTGATTTGCATTTCCCTAATGATTAGTGATGCTAAGCATCTTTTCATGGCTTACTGACCATTCATACATCTTTGGAGAAAAGCCTACACAAGCCTTCTGCCCATTTTTGCATTGAGTTGTTTGCTTTGTTGTTGTTAAGTTTTATCTGAGCTGTTTTTTTATGGTAGGGAGAGTGGGTTTGTTGGAGTCTCCTTGTATCTCCCAGAAGGAAGCCAGAATTTCAGAGATGGCCAGGAGGGGGTGAGGCCAAAGGCTCCCCTGGGGAGAACTCACGTTTTTCCAGAGCCCCATTGTGTGCCAGCCACCGCACATAGCAACTGTCTCTCTCTCACTCTTCTGGGCCATGCTGTGACTTTGTTGATGAGGAGGTTGAGGCACAGAGGGGTGGAGGGATGTGCTGCAGGGCCCACAGCTACAATGGGCAGAGCTGGAAATTGCACCAAGTCTGTCTGATGCGGGGGTCTCCTCTGCTCCTCTGGCCTCCGCTGCATCCCTGGAGAATCTCTGAGACTTCTGGTTAGAGCCTGGGTCTAAGCCAACTCCCATTATTTTCAAGTGAGGGGAAGGGCCGACAACTGCCAGTGCTGGCCCACCAGAGTCTGGCACCAGCCGAGGAGTGCACGCACCCATTGGTGGTGTGGCGGTTCACTGATCCCCCAGCCTTCTGCTCGATCTACGGGGAAAACTGGGGAAGGCAGGAAGGCCAAGGAGGCTCAACTCCTGCTTCCTACCGTGGCTCATTTCCTGGGTCCTTTGCTGTATGACTGTCTGGATGGAAGGTTCAGAGTCCTCTCAAAAAAGGAAAAAAGTATGGGTTTTGACATCCTGCGTGGCTTGTCCTCTGAGGCCTAAATCTCCAGAAGATTCCTGGCCTCTCTTGAGAGGTCTTTCTCTGATGTGTTTGCGTGTCTGTCAGGAAGCAGCAGTGATGCCTAGATGTGGTACATTCGACCTCACCTATGCCTCTCCCCACCCCCTCTGGGTTCGTTTTGTCTTCCAGATTGCTGGACTCGCTGAAGAGAGACTACGCAGGAAAGCCCCAGCCACCCATCAAATCAGAGAGAAGGAATCCACCTTCTTACGCTATGGCAGGTAATGATTCACTATTGTGGAGTAAGACTTTTTTTTTTTTGAGATGGGATTTTGTTGTATTGCCCAGGCTGGTCTCAAACTCCTGAGCTCAAGTGACCCTCCCACATTGACCTTCCAGGTGGGAGTTAGACTCTTAATCAGAAATTGGATACATTGTTGTAAAAAATCCAAGCCACGTGGAAGTGTATAAACTATCTGGAATTATCTTGTTTTCTATGTTCTCACTTGTTTCATTGTTCCTTTCGACTCCCTCCAGAATTTAGGTTCCTCAAAAGTGGGGCCCTGCCTATCCTGTCTTTGCTGTGCCTCCAGGCCCTGAAATTCTCCCTGGGCTGTAGCAGGGGCTCAAGTGAATGAACCCCAGGAGGCATCTTGGGTAAAAATTCAGTACGATTCTATCTTTGCTTTTGCAACTGCTTATCATGCACATATACATGAACATGCAATCTCTCAACTTTTTAATTTCACCTAACGATATAACATGGAGAGCCTTTCGTGTTAGAACGCACAGGTTCACCTTACTCTATACATTATGGTGTAGATTCGGATTTTCGCCCTTGGCACCACTGACATTCTGGGCCAGATAATCCTATGTTTTGGGGGGTCATCCTGTGCACCCTGTTTAGCACCTAGCACCATCCCTGGCCTCTGCCCACCAGATGCCAGTAGCACCCCTCCCCCACCGGCTGTGACAAACCAAAATGTCTCCAGGCATTGAGAAACGTCCCCTAGCAGGCACAACACTGCCCCAGTTGAGAACCATTGGTGTAGGTATTTCATTTGCATCTATTCTCCTGTTAAGCCCCTAAGTATAGTTCCTTTATTGAAACAAGAGTCTGAGAAAGTAAAATTAAAATGTTAACCATGAATCTAACTTATGGAATTCAACCTTTGTAGCCAGCTCAATGCCCTGAAACCCATTGCTTCAAACTGATACGTGTATCTTTTCCTTAAAGTGTCATTATGAAAAATTTAAATCAAGAGTTTAACATCTTCTTAAAGGTGACCAGGGTAAATTTAATTAAGCAAATCACCAGGCTGCCTCCCAGACGAAGTCAGTATATAAGCCTGGAGACTCTTTCCAATGAGGAAAATACTGCTTCAGAAGCCCCTGGTGTGAACGATACTGCCAGTGCCAGGAGGGCCTGACTCTTCCTAGAGTCCTCTTTGTTATCAGCATCACCACTGAAAGATGGGCTCCATGTGGCCCTGCCTTCCCATGAGACCAGCGGGTCTGATTCCTCATGTTTTGTTTAAGTGTCAGATTTGATGGACTGGGGGAGATGGAAGCAGAACTGTGCCACACTGAAAGGTGCCTGTAGCTGATATCTGCAAATGTAGGGTTAGCATGGAAGACTAATTCCAGCAGTTCTTTATTTTGGTGTTAGGGAGCTGGTCTAAACCTTCTTACAGAGGATAACCAAATTAGGTTGGGCTTTTAAAAGATTTAGTGGTGGTATTTTTGAGGAGATATAATTTGACCCATTGTATTGTGATGTTGAGCTATGAATAACTGGATTTTTAAAATGCCCATTGCTTTAAAACTGCCACCTATTAGAAAGTTTGGTATTTCTGGGGCCAGGTGCTGTGGCTCATACCAGTAATCCCAGCACTCTGGGAGGCCAAGGTGGGCAGATCACCTGAGGTCGGGAGTTCGAGACCAGCTTGACCAACATGGAGAAACCCGGTCTTAACTAAAAATACAAAAAATTATCCGGGCGTGGTGGCGCATGCCTGTAATCCCAGCTACTCAGGAGGCTGAGGTAGGAGAATTGCTTGAACCCGGGAGGCAGAGGTTGCAGTGAGCTGGGATCGTTGCTCCAGCCTGGGCAACAAGAGCGAAACTCTGTTTCAAAAAAAAAAAAAAAGAAAAAGAAAAAAGGAAAGAAAAGAAAGTTTGGTGTTTCTGGCCAAGTGCGGTGGCTCATGCCTGTAATCCCAGCACTTTGGGAGGCCAAGGCGGGTGGATCACTTGAGGCCAGGAGTTCAAGACCAGCCTGGCCAACATGGCAAAATCCCATCTGTACTAAAAATACAAAAAATTAGCTGGGCGTAGTGGCACACATCTATCGGGGGAAATTCAGCCAGATATTGGGCGAAATTCACCCCCAATATTTCACGTAGGTTCTTTTCTATATTTCCTAAGTGTCGGCCGGTCTGAGAAATAAACGGACAGAGTACAAAAGAGAGAAATTTTAAAGCTGGGTGTCCAGGGGAGACATCACATGTCGGCAGGTTCCGTGATGCCCCCAAGCCGTAAAACCAGCAAGTTTTTATTAGTGATTTTCCAAAGGGGAGGGAGTGTACAAATAGAGTGTGGGTCACAGAGATCACATGCTTCACAAGGTAATAGAATATCACAAAGCAAATGGAGGCAGGGCGAGATCACAGGACCACGGGACGGGGCGAAATTAAAATTGCTAATGAAGTTTTGGGCACCATTGTCATTGAGAACATCTTATCAGGAGCCAGGGTTTGAGAGCAGACAACCGATCTGACCAAAATTTATTAGGCAGGAATTTCCTTGTCTTAATAAGCCTGGGAGCGCTACGGGAGACTGGGGCTTATTTCATCCCTACAGCTGGACCATAAAAGACAGCTGCCGCCCCGAAGCGGCCATTTCAGAGGCCCACCCTCAGGGACGCATTCTCTTTCTCAGGGATGTTCCTTGCTGAGAAAAAGAATTCAGCGATATTTCTCCCATTTGCTTTTGAAAGAAGAGAAATATGTCTCTGTTCCGCCTGGCTCACCGGCAGTGAGAGTTTAAGGTTATCTCTCTTGTTCCCTGAACATTGCTGTTATCCTGTTCTTTTTTCAAGGTGCCCAGATTTCATATTGTTCAAACACACATGCTCTGCAAACAATTTGTGCAGTTAACACAATCATCACAGGGTCCTGAGGCAATATACATCCTCCTCAGCTTATGAAGATGATGGGATTAAGAGATTAAAGTAAAGACAAGCATAGGAAATCACATGGGTATTGATTGGGGAAGTGATAACTGTCCATGAAATCTTCACAATTTACGTTCAGAGATTGCAGTAAAGACAGGCATAAGAAATTACAAAAGTATTAATTTGGGGAACTAATAAATGTCCACGAAATCTTCACAATTTATATTCTTCTGCCATGGCCTCAGCCAGTTGCTCCATTCGGGGTCCCTGACTTCCCACGAAACACACCTGTAGTCCCAGCTAGTCAGGAGACTGAGGCATGAGAATCACTTGAACCTGGGAGGCAGAGGTTGCAGTGAGCTGAGATCATGCCACTGCATTCCAGCCTGGGTGACAGAGTGAGACTGTCTAAAAAGAAGAGAGAGAAAGAGACAGAAAGAAAAGAAAATTTGATATTTCTTAGCTTCAATTACTATGATGCACCTGAACATTCAATTTTCATCTTAGTCTTCATTGAATTTAACAGAGAGAGGTTGTTCTTCAAGAGGAACTGTTTCTTATCCTGATTTAGGTAAGAAAGTACTCATTGTCTATGCACACCAGGAACCCAAGTCTTTCAACGGATCCTTGAAGAATGTGGCTGTAGATGAACTGAGCAGGCAGGGCTGCACCGTCACAGTGTCTGATTTGTATGCCATGAACCTTGAGCCGAGGGCCACAGACAAAGATATCACTGGTGAGTCATGGGATAAATGCTCTATTTATAAAAACCATCTTTATGTTTTTTACTTTAAAAAATGTTGACTTCCAGCTGCAAAATGGCATTATAGAAGCAAGCTAGCTTCACTTTCCAAAAACAAATAGATAGCACTGGGATTATCACCAGCAGTATCCCAGAAGTCAAATATGAAGATGAAATAGTTCCCAAGACCACACATAAGTGAAACAACTCCAAGCAGACGGTAAGAGATTGGACTATCATATCCACGACACCCCTCCCCACAAACTACCCAGCACCAGCTGTGTGGGAAATTTCCTCCCAAGTCACAGGTTCTACACTGGAAAAGAGATCAAGGGGGACAATCAGCTTCTCAATTTTCTGGGGTTCCCAGAAACAGGCAGGAAGGAGACCTGTTCCTGCCTCAACCCACAGGAAGCATCAGGAGTGCCTAAAGGGAGAAATATCCCTGACAACAGCCAGAGACAAAGGAGGGAGATGGGAATATTGTCCCCAGCCCTGGAAACTCTGATCTGTAACTTAGCCAAAGGAGATGCCAAACCAGAGTGGCTGTTCAGCAGCACCACACTGTAGGAGGTACATTCTGCAGGTTTCCTGGGCATGAGCTGCTAGCCAGCCTTCCCACACTACCATGCTATCCCCTTTGGAACCTCTCATATTCAGGACTGGCACACTCTGAACAGTAGGTTACTAGAGCTGAGGCAAACGTGGGCATAAACCACCATCTAGTGCCAAAAAGCAGGTGGTGGCTTAGTAGAGGAAAAAAAAAAAATTTAATAAGAAAGTTGCAAAGACTTTCTAAGCAAATATATGTAATAAAAATGAAAACAAGTCAGACATAGAAGACTGAAATAAATAGATGTCATCCACAAGAAACAACAGTAAACAGGGAACCATGACCTCTCCACACAGACAAAGCAAGGAACCAGTGACTGAACCTAACGAGACGGCACTGTTTGGACTCTCTGACCAAGAATTCAGAATAGCACTTTTAAGGAAATGTGGTAATCCTCAAGATCACACAGAAAAGCAGTTCAGAAATTTATCAGTTAAATTTTACAAAGAGATTGAAATAATTTTTAAAAAATCAAACAGAAATCTTGGAACTAGAAATACATTTGCTGAAAAATTCATTAGAGGCTCTCAACAGCAGAATGGATGAAGCAGAAGAAAAAATCAGTGAACTCAAAGGCAGGTGATTTGAAAATACACAGAGGAGAAAAAAGAAAAAGGTATGGAGATTTCTTACAAAATATAGAAAATTACCTCAAAAGACCAAATCTAAGAATGATTGGTGCTTAAGAGGAAGCTGAGCAAGAGCAAGGCATAGCAAGCTTATTCAAAGAAATAATAACAGAAAAATTTTCCAAAACTTCAGAAAGAGATAAATATCCTGGTAGAGGAAGGTCATAGAATAAACAGATTTGACTCAAATAGGACTACCCCAAGGCATATAATTATTAAACTCTCAAAGGTCAAGAACAAAAAGAGGATCCTAAAAGCAAATAACATGTAACAGAGCTCCAGTTCATCTGGCAACAGACTTCTCAACAGAAAACATATAGGCCAGGAGGTAGTGGGACATTTTCAAAGTGCTGAAAGAACAAAACTGTCAACCAAGAATACTGTACCCAGCAAATCTAGCCTTCAACTCTGAAAGAGAGAGAGTCTTTCCCAAACAAAGAAAAGCTGAGAAAATGCACCACCACCAGACCCACCTTACAAGAAATGCTAAAGGGAATTCAATAAGAAAGAAAAACACTAATGTGCAAAAAGAAAACATTTGAAGATGTAAAACCCACTGGTAAAAGTAAGTACACAGAACACTCTAATACTGTAATTGTGTACAGTCCACTCATTACTAGTATTAAGTCTAACAGACAAATCTATCAAAAACAATAATCACTACGTGACCTGTTAAGAGCCAAAGATAAGCAATATAAAATATGTAAATCAAGACACAGATACTCAAAAATGTGGAGGTGAGCATGAAATTAAAGCGTAGAGTTTATTTTTTTAGACCTGTTTGGCATTGAACAAGACATCCAGCCTCTCTTGGGTGTCAGTTTGCTCTCTGGTAAATTGGGAAATACACCAGTCTCACCAGTTGTTATGAAGAAAGGTGATGTGTGTAGAGCACAGCACCTGCTAGGTAGCAAGTGCTCAATCAGCAGCCCTCCCAGACTGCTTCTCTTTCCCTAGCTCGGACCCAGGGTGCAGCTTCTGGTCAGGTTGCAGCAAATGTCTTTGACTTGTCTGAGGAGTCCGGTATACACAGTGCTACTGGGATGGTTGGGATGGGCTGTGGATGCCCACCTAGGAGTGAGAATGTTTGGCCTCTTCCCCGACAGGTACTCTTTCTAATCCTGAGGTTTTCAATTATGGAGTGGAAACCCACGAAGCCTACAAGCAAAGGTCTCTGGCTAGCGACATCACTGATGAGCAGAAAAAGGTTCGGGAGGCTGACCTAGTGATATTTCAGGTTTGTTTTTCTCTAATTAATATATTGAATCAGATTCATCTTATGTACAAACTCTTTCTGAATATTGAGTTTTGTGCTGCTTCTGGAAGTGGCATCAATGTTTTGAGCACAGTTGCACACTTACTGAGCAAATATTGTAACCTGGTTACAACACCTAGTTACAACATTTCACCTAGTTACACCACTTCACCTAGTTACAACACTTCACCTAGTTACAACACTTCATCTAGTTACAACACTACTTTAAACACTGTACGTAGATGTAACACTACTTTTTTTTTTTTTTTTTTTTTTTTTTTGAGACGGAGTCTCGCTCTGTCGCCCAGGCTGGAGTGCAGTGGCGGGATCTCGGCTCACTGCAAGCTCCGCCTCCCGGGTTCACGCCATTCTCCCGCCTCAGCCTCCCGAGTAGCTGGGACTACAGGCGCCCGCCACCACGCCCGGCTAGTTTTTTGTATTTTTAGTAGAGACCGGGTTTCACCGTGTTAGCCAGGATGGTCTCGATCTCCTGACCTCGTGATCCACCCGCCTCGGCCTCCCAAAGTGCTGGGATTACAGGCGTGAGCCACCGCGCCCGGCCGATGTAACACTACTTTAAACACTTTACCTAATTGGGTAAAGATATCCACGTAGCCAATATCACTCACTCCAAATCCCGACTGCCATGTAAATAGGAATGAAGGATATTTCCATTATTCCAGTGGTCCAAGAATCATCTGAAACCTGCCAGTCTTGTTGCTTCCCTTCTCTTCCCGTTCCTGCCCTGAGACATTCTGGGGCTGCTTGAGAACCACATTTATCTGCACAAATGTTTATCAGGGTAAATCAGGCCAAATGCATCTCCTTAAATATCCTGCCTTAAATATCCTGATCATTAAGAGGAAAATCTCTGGTTTCTACCCTCTCAGTGGTTGCTTCACCCCCAGCCCAGCCACCTTCCTGTATTTGTTCACAAGGAGGTGATGCCACTGCAGAGTGAACTGGCCCAGCAAAATGCCCTCCAGGAGTGCTGACTCATCAGGCCACTTCCCGCCACTGCAAGGAAGATGTGCAGGCATGGCTGTGGCTGTGTAAACCTGGCAGCAGAGTACGCACATGAGCTTTGAGGGAATTGTTGGGTGACAGAAATTCCTGTCCAACTAGAAGGAAAGGGGAATCTATTATAAGGGCTCTGGTCACTTGGGCCTCCTGGATCCCAAGGACAGAGCTGTAGCTGCTCTCGTCCACAGATTCCCATCTGCTCCTTTCTGCCTCTTGGCTCTGTTCTCTCTCACTGCTTGCCAGGGACTGGATCCCCTAGATCCAGAATTTCCAACCAAGGGATCTGATTGGTTCAGATCATTTCTGTTTTCCAACCCTGCTTGAGGATGCGGAGTGGGCAGGAGAACGAGAGCACTGTTCGCATGAGTCCGCCATGTGAGGGCAAGGCAGGGGGTGAGCGGCATGTGACCACTTTCCAGACAAAACCACCTTTCCAGAATGATGAGGTTCCCAAGCCTTCATAAAAGCAACCTGCATGTGCGGGAAGAGGGCTGCCTCATCCCTGCCCAGGCTTGCCTCTGCACACCCCTTCCCGACACCAGCCCTTTCTTTACTCAGTGACCTTGAGCTGCTAATCTGACCAAAGTGCAGGACGTCCTTTGTCCTAATTACAGGTGGGTGGACTCATAGTCCTCAGGCCTAGGTGACCATGTGGTTTACCATCTCCGTCTTAATACCATGCCAGTATGACGGGCCTGTATCCTGGGGTGCGTGGTCCCAGCAGAGCCACGCTGAGCTCTCTGCTCTGCTTCTCCTGTCCCCCTTGGGTCGGCCGGCCACGTGGAGCCCGCTTTCCTCCTCGCACCCACTCCACTCCCATAACCCGGTGGCTGGGTAGGCTAAGACCTGGCCTTTCTATAATGGCCTTTCTTTTGTTTCACTTCATTTCACTCCATTTCCCTACTTTCCCTTTTTTTCTGATAGTTTGTCCAGAGGGTCTGCATTATAAGTTATTCTTTTATTCAACATTAATAAAAATTTCATTCATCACTACTGCACTACTAATATCAGAGCCCACCACTCACTGAGCATTGATTCTGTTTTGGGCACTGTGGTGTGTCTTCGAATCCTCACCAGGATGCTGTGAGCTGTGAACTATTAGTAGCCCTATTTGATGAATCAGGAAAAAGGAGGCACAGGGAGGTCAAGTAACTTGCCAATGTCACACAGCAGCAGGTCGTGGAGCTTGGGTTTCAATGCCAAGTCCTGAGTTTGTTTTATATGGAAAGCACAAGAGACATTGGCTTCCACCTTTGGTAACAGATGATTGCCTATGTTTATTTCCCTTCCCAGGCGGTAACACTGGATGTAATGTTAGGGCATCTATGGGATAGGGAGATCTTAGCGCTGGTCTAAGGAATACAAACATGACTTTAGTTGGTGTCTAAATCCATAGATGCTCAGCACCGAACTCAGTCTGACTTCCAGATGCTAACAACACACCCCAGGCAGGCGAAGGGGCATGCTTTTCCATACTCTTCCTTTTGACTGGCTTGATCACAGACTGCTGCTCCAAAGCTGGTGTTACGCACAGCTCCTCGTCCCCTCCCTGCCTGCCCAGGGCCAGCATCAGGGGCTGTCATCACTGGGGGATGCAGAGCTACCTGTAACAGCAACAAGGACCATTGTCAACTCCGTTCCCGTCTGACACCCACACTGCACCTTTCAGAGCTGACCATAAGGGTTACCCTCACCTGCCCAGCTGCCAGGGAAGAGGAGGGCTGTGGGCTTCATTCCGAATCACCAGATAAACTAAACTAGGAAACCTGAGGCGAGCCGCAGCCTCAGTTTCTCTTTGGTGTTGCCGCCCACAGTTCCCGCTGTACTGGTTCAGCGTGCCAGCCATCCTGAAGGGCTGGATGGATAGGGTGCTGTGCCAGGGCTTTGCCTTTGACATCCCAGGATTCTACGATTCCGGTTTGCTCCAGGTATGTGCTCTTGGATAAGGATCACTATGGATAGTTGGAGGGAGGGGACAGAGGATGCGTCTTCTATCAAGTTATATTTCTAGTTTCCTTCCTTTTCTTAGCAAATATCGATTGAGCACCCACTATGTACAAAGCACCATGTGCTGCACACGGGTGGACACAGCATCGTTTCTGAAATCATGGAGCTTTTTGTCTGGTGGGGCTGCGAACACATCCACAGCATACTACACGCATGGCAAACAAGGGAGTGGGTCAGGTGTCAGGTGACGGGGGACCTGGGCAACCTTATGTGGGCAACCCGGTGGCCAGCCCTGGCTCCAGAGAGAGTATCTCCCTGGTGCAGAGCCCAGCCCTGGCCTGGCACAAGTTCACCCCCTTGAGCATCATGTGCCTGCTGTGAGAAAAGACCATGCGACACCCACGTGGCAGGATGAGGAGGGCATGGAATCTGGTAGATGTGCCACATGTGGTAGCTATGAATTCTTACTAAAACAATGATTTTTAAGGCTGGGTGCAGTGGCTCACGCCTGTAATCCCAGCAATTTGGGAGGCCGAGGAGGGTGGATCACTTGAGGCCAGGAGTTCAAGACCAGCCTGGCCGACATGGTGAAACCCCATCTCTACTAAAAATACAAAAATTAGCCGGGCATGGTGGTAGGCGCCTGTAGTCCCAGCTACTTGGGAGGCCGAGGCAGGAGACTGGTTTGAACCTGGGAGGTGGAGGTTGCAGTGAGCCAAAATCGCACCATTGCATTCCAGCCTGGGTGACAAAGCGAGACTCTGTCTCAAAAAAAAAAAAAAAAAAAAGGAACGATTTTTAAATTCTAAAAGCTTCAGAAAATAAATGCACGTAAGGGAAACATACTGAGTAACCAAGATGTGTCTTGGACCATGAATGGTGCTACCACTTACTGAGCAGCCCTGTGTGCTGGGAACCTTGTCCTGTGGTCAGTGCCTCGGCCGTATCCATCACACATGGTGTCATGGAAACCAGGTTTCCACCAGCAACCTGGGCATGTTAGAGCTTCTGTGTCTGCTTGGTCCATTCACTTGGATTGTCTCCTCCTCCTCTTGGGATGTCATTGTCACCTATGGATGGGAGTGTTGCATTTGTCCATCCCTGGAGGGTGTCCACACGCATGTTCCCTGCTGGCTGTGCTGAGCCCGTGTGCTGGAGGCTCAGCAACATTTCTGTCCTCTTCTGGAGTCCACACAAATGCATCTGCTTTCTCCCTTGCAGGGTAAACTAGCGCTCCTTTCCGTAACCACGGGAGGCACGGCCGAGATGTACACGAAGACAGGAGTCAATGGAGATTCTCGATACTTCCTGTGGCCACTCCAGGTAGACCAGCTGCGAGTGGCTCCCTTGCTTGTTGGCACACGCACACACAGACACACACATGCACACATGCATACACACACACACGCACACACATACATGCCCTCAGCTCCCCGAGGGGTGAGATGAGATGGGATGGAAGCGTGATGCCCCACACCATTTTGACTCCCCTGGATACAAGAAAATTATAACATTTTGCCCCTTTTAAATGCTTTACTTGACAGATTTGAAAAGCTTGACCAATAGGGAAAACATGCCCTAATTATAGCTTTTGATATGGTTTGGGCAGAAGCTAAGCCAAACCTGCTTAGCTTGGTCAGCAGAATGGCCCCAAGGTGGCCCTGCGTGTGTTGTGATACGTGCGGGTGGAGGCCATCCATATGGCTCTGGCAGTGCTTGGTGAGGGCAGCACTGCCCTTGGACCCTGGCAAGTGGCACCCCAGGCCCTGCATTCTGATGGCCGCATGCTGGTCTCTGCTGGCCATGCCAACCCCCACAGGGGCAAGGGGCCTATGGAGCCAGCACACACCCACCTCCCAGTCCGCAGGCCCCTCCCAGGCCTGCTTCCCCAGGGGACCTCTTGGTGCCTGCGTGAGTGTCCCTGGGCCTGAAATGTGGCCGAGTAGTGGCCACCTGCCAAAGGGAAGGTGGTGGGCAGAGCAGTTCCAACGTGCTGGGGTGTCCCACGAAGGAACCCCTGGTGAGGGGTGGCAGAGGGAGGGAGTGGGGAGCAGACTCCAGGTCAGGGGCTCCAGGGAACCCAGAAACCTAGGGGTCAACTGTTCTTCCAGGTTGTTTAAGGGAGGTTTGTCGAGACAGGGGGAGAGCTCGTTCTTGAGGGGTAGGGAGTTTGCTGGGAAAATGCACGCGTCACCCCTTTTCTGTGAACTCTCTCTAGGTGCACGTGCCTTGCCCATGTCCTATTGGTTTGGTATTTTTTAATTTTCTATTTGTCAGTGCTCTTCATATATCAGAGAAATTAATCCTATTATGTCCTTTCAAAACACAATGATTTTTCCTTCTACAGGCAGTGCACATTGACTAAGTTCATTCCTTGCTTTTGTTGTTGTTTGCTATTATAAATAGGATTTTGTCTTCAATTATATCTTCTAAAAGTTCTTTTGATTGGTGAAAGCTATTGATTGCTGAATATTGGTTTTTGACCCCGACCATTTGCTGTTTTCTCCTCCTAATCATAATTTTTTCTTAGTTGGTTTCCAGTAATAAAGTCATGTTGTCTGAAGCTGGGTGCGGTGGCTCACGCCTGTAATTCCAGCACTCTGGGAGGCTGAGGCAGTGGATCACCTGAGGTCAGGAGTTTGAGACCAGCCTGGCCAACATGGCGAAACCCCATCTCTACTAAAACACAAAAATTAGCCGAGTGTGGTGGCGGACACCTGTAGTCCCAGCTACTTGGGAGGCTGAGGCAGCAGAATCGCTTGAACCTGAGAGACGGAGGTTGCAGTGAGCCAGGATTGCACCACTGCACTCCAGCCTGGGCAACAGAATGAGAATCCACCTCAAAAACAAGCAAACAAACAAACAAATAAATAAAATGATGTTGCCTGAGGAAAAAAATGTGGATAGTGGTGTGTGGGCCTCTCACTCCCCACCTGACAGGGCAGGCCTGGATGAGGGTGTGGGTTTTAAAGGAAGTAATGCAGAGGATTGAGTGTGACATTTTTAGAAAAAAAGTGGTCCTCTTTGAAAGGAAAAAGTACGTGATTCCAGTTACTGATAGTCTACTGAAGGAAATGATAATTTATAAACCTGACCTTGCTTCTTCACAGGCCAACTGGTCTCTTATGTGTCATTAGCCAAGTTCAAATTCTTCTTGCTTTTAAAAAAATCTTTTTTTTTTTCAGTTTGCAGAAGTACATATTATGGCCAAAAAAAAAAGAGACAATATGAAATATAAAAAGAGAAAATCCCTTTAATCCCTCCCACCTCAGAAAGAATCACTTTAAATGGTTTGATTTATTTTCTTAGGGCCTATATATTTTCTCACATACATAATTTTTATTATAGGTTTATTACATTTACTGCTCTTTTACATGAATGGTATATCATAAATACGGCTTAAAATTTGTTTGTTATTTTCATTTAACAGATATCTTGAACAAACTTCCATGGTATATATTATAGCTAGAATAACCTCATTCTGGAATAATCTATAGTGTGAATGTACCATAATTT
Organism: Homo sapiens; assembly: GCF_000001405.40. Lineage (NCBI taxonomy): Eukaryota > Metazoa > Chordata > Mammalia > Primates > Hominidae > Homo > Homo sapiens. The sequence continues at coordinate 3,019,179 of NC_000006.12, forward strand.
GCCCAATCAAGCAGAACTATAATGTTTGGCATCTGAATCAGTTGCAAAGATTGTAGGTTAATTGCAGTTATAAAAATAGAGCTTGGAAATTGCAACTGCCCCAAGTTCTTCACGGCTCTTATGCAAGGCTGTGTCCTAAAGCCATAGGGAAGTTTAGCTTTCAGTTGCCTGTAACATTAAGGTTGTTTCATGATTTTTTGAAGGTTTGTTTCACACCATTTCCCCCCTTAAATCATTTAACTGAATGGTATGTAACAGGTGTAGTTTCTAATGAGTTCTTTTCTTCCCCTGTGGCTTTAGCATGGCACATTACACTTCTGTGGATTTAAAGTCCTTGCCCCTCAGATCAGCTTTGCTCCTGAAATTGCATCCGAAGAAGAAAGAAAGGGGATGGTGGCTGCGTGGTCCCAGAGGCTGCAGACCATCTGGAAGGAAGAGCCCATCCCCTGCACAGCCCACTGGCACTTCGGGCAATAACTCTGTGGCACGTGGGCATCACGTAAGCAGCACACTAGGAGGCCCAGGCGCAGGCAAAGAGAAGATGGTGCTGTCATGAAATAAAATTACAACATAGCTACCTGGGGATACTTTTTTCTTTCTGTTTTTTGTTTGTTTTTAATTTTAGCTTTAAGGAGCACATGGCCAGTACTGTTTCAGGGGAATATTGGGTGGCGCTGGGGTTTGGGCTTCTATTGATCCCATCACCCAAACAGTGAGCATAGTTCCCAATAGATAGTTTTTCAACACTTCCTTTCCTCCCTTCCTTCCCGCTTTTGGATTCCCAGCATCTATTGATCCCGTCTTTTCACCCCTGTGTACCCAATGTTTAGTTCCCACTTATAAGTTAGAACATGGGGAATTTGGTTTTGTTTCTGTGTTGATTCACTTAGGATAATGACCTCCAGCTGCATCCACGTTACTGCAAAGGACAGGATTTCATGTTTTTTTATGGCTGCATAGTATTCCATGGCGTCCGTGTACCACACTTTCTTTATCCAGTCCACTGTTGATGGGCACCTGGGTTGATTCCATGTCTTTGCTACTGTAAATAGTTCTGTGATGAACATACAAGTGCAGGCATCTTTTCATAGAATGATTTTTTTTTTCCTTTTGGTAGATACCCAGTAATGGGATTGCTGGGTTGAAGGGTAATTCTATTTTTAGCAAACTAGAAATATTTAATGAAGTACATGAATGAGTGTCTTCAGAATTGTACACAGTGAGATCAAATATTTTAATAATGAGCTTGTTATGTTGAATTCTATTCTGACCATCACTCACTGAGATTTTCTTTTCTTTCTTTCTTTTCTTTTCTTTCTTTTTTAAAGAGACAGAGTTTCACTATGTTGCCCGGGCTGGTCTCAAACCCCTTGCCTCAAGTAATCTTCCCACCTTGGGCCTCCCAAAGTGCTGGGATTGCAGGTGTGAGCCACCACACCTGGCCCAGATTTTCTTTAATATTTGTCTAATATCTTTCCATCTCCCTATATTCAAGCTTCATGTAATTTTATTTTCTGGTAATTCTCTGAGCATAGAGCTGGATTTGCTAGTTTTTTTATTTTATGACTCAACATGACAGTTTCTATTTTTCATAGAAAAGTTGAATCTGGGCCTGTTGCTTAATTTTCTTCTTTGTCTTTTTAAATTTACATTAGGACTATGAAGTTTTAATTGAACAGCCATTAACATATATGGTTATATGTTGCATGATGTTTCAATCAGTGATGGACTGCATGTACGATGGTGGTCCCCTAAGATTATAATGCCATGTTTTGTTTATTAAAATTTATTTAAGATTTATTTTATTATTTTTATAGATGAGGTCTCACTCTGTTGCCCCAGCTGGGTGCAGTGGCATGATCATACCTCACTAGGCTCAAGTGATCCTCCTGCCTCAGCATCCCTAGTAACTAGGACTACAGGCACATGCTACCACGCCTGGCTAATTATTTTAATTTTTGGTAGAGACAGGATCTCATTATGTTGCCCAAGCTGGTCTTGAACTCCTGGTCTCAAGCAGTCCACCCACCTCAGCTTCCCCAAGTGCTGAGATTACAGGCATGAGCTGCCTGCACCTGGACTAATACAGTAATTTTACTGTACCTTTTCCATGTTTAGATACAGAGATACCTATTATTGTGTTACAGTTGCCTACAGTATTCAGTACAGTAACATCTCTACAGGTTTATAGCCAAGGGCAATAGGCTCTACCATAAAGCCTGGGTGTGTAGTAGGCTGTACCATCTAGGTTTGTGTAAGTGCATTCTATGATGTTTGCGTGACAATGAAATCAACTAATTATGAAATCACTTAATGATACATTTCTCAGAATGTATCTCTTTTGTTAAGTGAAACATTACAAAATTTATTTTTTTGGGCACAGTGGCTCACTCCTGTAATCCCAGCACTTTGGGAGGCCAAGGCGGGCATGCCGATCACGAGGTCATCTCCTACAGGCAGTGCACATTGACTAAGTTCATTCCTTGCTTTTGCTGTTGTTTGCTATTATAAATAGGATTTTGTCTTCAATTATATCTTCTAAAAGTTCTTTTGATTGGTAAAAGCTATTGATTGCTGAATATTGGTTTTTGACCCCGACCGTTTGCTGTTTTCTCCTCCTAATCATAATTTTTTCTTAGTTGGTTTCCAGTAATAAAGTCATGTTGTCTGAGGCCGGGTGCGGTGGCTCACGCCTGTAATCCCAGCACTCTGGGAGGCTGAGGTGGCGGATCGAGACCACCCTGGCTAACACAGTGAAGCCCTGTCTCTACTAAAAATACAAATATTTAGCCGGGTCTGGTGGCGGGCGCCTGTAGTCCCAGCTACCCGGGAGGCTGAGGCAGGAGAATGGCGTGAAGCTGGGAAGCAGAGCTTGCAGTGAGCCGAGATTGTGCCACTGCACTCCAGCCTGGGTGACAGAGCGAGACTCCGTCAAAAAAAAAAAAAAAAAATTAATGGCTGGGCACTGTGGGTCATGCCTGTAATCCCAGCAATTTGGGAGGCTGAGATGGGATAACTGCTTGAGGCCAGGAGTTCAAGACCAGCTTGGGCAACATAATGAGACCCATCTCTACAAAAAATTTAAAAATATACATTAGTTAGGCATGGTGGCACGCACCTGTAATTCCAGCTACTCAGGAGGCTGAAGCAAGAGGGTCACGTGAGTCCAGGAGTTCAAGGCTGCAATGAGCCATGACTGTGTCACTGCACTCCAGCCTGGATGACAGAGCAAGACTCTTTTTAAAAATAGCCAGGCGTGATGGCTCTCACCTGGAATCCCAGCATTTTTGGAGGCTAAGATGGGCAGATTGCTTGAGTTCAGCAGTTTGAGGCCAGCCTGGGCAACATGGCGAAACCCCAACCCTATAAAAAAAAAAAAAAATTAGCCAGGTGTGGTGGCACACATCTGCAGTCCCAGGTACTTGGGAGGCTGAGGTGAGAGAATCGCTCGAGCTGGGAGGCAGAGGTTGCAGTGAGCTGAGATCACACCACTGCACTCCAGCCTTGGGTGACGGAATGAGACCTGTCTCAAAAAACAAATAAATAAATAAAAATAATTTAAAAATCATTAATTGCCAGTTACAATGAAAATTTAAAACTTTTAAAAAATTTAGTCTGATGGCATTGTACCACTGTGCCGTGTTCACGTAACCCTACTAATAATCACCCTGACACACAGCCACATGCAGATGGAGGAACTTCCCTAAAAGCAAGTTTGAGGGATTAAATATCATCTTTGTCATCATATCCTCCTCTTTTCCCTTTTCCTCCTCCTCCTTGTCATCACTACTGAGGACAGCACTGCTGGCTGTGCCCAGGGGCCCTTCTTCCTCAACGCCCCCAGCACCACCCAAAGTCCCCCTCTGTGGAATCGGAGCACTGAGTGTGTTGGCCTCAGGGACACTGAAGGAAGCCGCCCGCCCGTCCTCTCAGCCTTGGAGTCTGTTCAACCATTATCATTCAAACCACCTTCCATCAAAGGTTTGAATACAATGAGCAGCTGCTCCTGCATTCCTCCAGGACACAGGTTCACCAGCTGGGTGTCTGTCAAAGACAATGAGCCTCCGAGTTGGTCCAAACTTGACTCTCCTTGAAGGTCTTCTCTGGCCATCCTCAAAATCCACAGGATGAAATGTGTTCGATGAGGACAACTCACTCGTGTCGCGGCGTTTGGATGGGCTGCGGCGTGGCCGCTTCTGCCGTAGAGACGGAGCCTTCCTGTGGTTCGCGCACTTCCTTCCTGAAGCCTCATATTTCCCATTCCGTTGATACTTGGCCACCTCAACCTGCAACGTGCAGTTTCCAGTGTCATCTTCATCCAAATGCATGAATGCAAGATCCACAGCTTCCCTCTTCCAATGATCGCACAGCCTGTCTCCTTTAAGATGTCCTTGGTTATCTCTGTAAAACTTGACCTTAAGTTCTTCTGTCTGGGGATCGCTCATAATAATGCCAAATGGACAGGCGTGTGAATGCCTCCACGGTAACGACCAGAGGCAAACCGGCACATACACGTTTGTATTTCTCCTTCTTCAGCATGAAGCCTTCCTTTTTCTCCCCTCTTTGTGGGATCAGTGGGTTTGGGGTTTTTCTTGGTGGCAGAGCAGCGCCGTCACCGAGCAGCCGTCGCTGGCCTGATATGCAGCGGTGAAGTCTTCACTGGTTTCTCTTCTGCTCCTGTGTGCTTGCAGAAACCGGGCTGGCTCTTGATTGGGATTGTAGGCTGCAGAGGCTGGGGAAGGGCAGACAGCCTCGGGAGACACGCCGGAAAGGGCGGCTCCCTCGTGCTCCTCAGTGACTCAGGGTTTTGGCCACATAGCTCCCCTCCTCCACCCTCGCTCAGCAGGCTGCATCCGGGGCGGGGCTGGCAGGCAAAGAGGCTGTGTCACAGCCCTTCAGAGCCTCAAGCTGGGGTCCCTAGGGTTTCTGGACCTCAGATCACTGTGAGGCAGGAGGTCCTCCACCCTCCCTCCGGCAACTCTGAAGTATGGGAAGGTGCGTTCTCGAACTGCCGAGGGGCCTGTTCCTGTGTGGGTTGAGAGGATGGGAAGTTGCTGAAATCCAACCTCTCTGAGAGCCGGTGCTGTCACCTTGGCCTGAGTATGCTGAAGACATTAATTCCGGTTCCCAAGCAAAACTGTTAGCAATTCGAGGGCTGGGCTCTTGCCTATGTCTCATCTCCTGTTAGTACCGGGCACCCTGATACATTTTCTGCCGGTTTTTAAGAATTTTTTTTTGAGACGGAGTTTCACTCTTGTTGCCCAGGCTGGAGTGCAATGGCGCGATCTCGGCTCACCTCGACTTCCACCTCCCTGGTTCAAGCGATTCTCCTGCCTCAGCCTCCCGAGTAGCTGGAATTACAGGCATGCGCCACCATGCCCGGCTAATTTTGTATTTTTAGTAGAGACAGGGTTTCTCCATGTTGGTCAGGCTGAACTCACCCGACCTCAGGTGATCTGCCTGCCTTGGCTTCCCAAAGTGCTGGGATTACAGGCATGAGCCACCGCGCCCGGCCGGTTTTTAAGATCTTATTGCTGAAAAACTTAAAATAAAAAATAAATTCAGTATCAGCAGGGCAGCAGGAATTGCCATTAAAAAAAAAAAAAGAAAATTGGAAATGACTGCAGCCAGGTGTGTGTGATTGGGCCCCGCGACCTTTTTCTTAGGCAAACAGGGCTTTGTGGATGCAGAAAGACTTCTTTGGTTGTGTAGTTTGTCTCAGAGCCTCTCGTGGGTGGAGCCTGGTAAAAAGAGGAAAGAGACTCATGTTGCTCAATGTGAGGAAGCACCAGGAATTTTGGAGAAGTTCCCAGCAGCTCAGGAGAGTGGCTGGTGCCTTGTCCCAGGGGAGAGGGAAATAAGCACAGGCCTATTTCTTTCTCAAGACGGAAAAACCGAGCCCCAGAAAATGGCGATAAGATGGGGATGCAGGAAAAAGCTAGCTAATGAACAGTTCAGCAGTGGGCACCGTGTGGGAACCTCTCCTAAGCCGCCCTCCCTCTGATGGATGCATGCTCAAGTGATTTCGTTGGCCCTTAAAGGAAAGTGTTATTCCATCCTGTAATCCTAGCACTTTAAAAGGAGGCCGAGGTGGGAGGATCACCTGAGGTCAGGAGTTCACGACCAGCCTGGCCAACATGGTGAAACCCCGTCTCTACTAAAAAATACAAAAATTGGCCGGGTGTGGTGGCATATGCCTATAGTCCCAGCTACTTGGGAGGCTGAGGCAGGAGAATCACTTGAACCCGGGAGGTGGAGGTTGCAGTGAGGTGAGATCGTGCCATTGCACTCCAGCCTGGCCACAGAGCGAGACTCCATCTCAAAAAAAAAAAAAAAAAAAGACATCTGCCCAAGGGTCATAGCTGTAGAGGGGCAGATGTGGTTTGAACCCAGGGCGTCTGGTTCCTCTCTGGAAGCAACCAAAGTGCCTGTGATTGGGGTAGTGACAAAGCACTCTGAGCCGCTGCATGGCAGATGCTGTGAAGAGTCATCTTTGCCTGTCCCATATCTATTCCCATTTTTTCTGATTGTAACACCTTGTTTTTTTGTGTGTGGTGGGGGAACCATGCCCTTTCAACCAAGCTATGTGGTGTTCATAAGGGTAGCCCCTCCTCCGACCCCAGGAGTGGCAGTTCACAGCCCTGACTGATCACAGTGTTCCGTGGCCTAGCTGTAACCACCCCAGGGAGTGAGACTGAACTCAGGGGTTCATTGGACCTATCAGGAAAGAGAGACCTTTCTTGTTTCTGGACTTGGAGCTGTGATGAAGTAAGTGGGTCAGGGGCCAACACATAGACAGCGTTGGCCTACAAATGCAGCCCAGGCAGAGGACGGTGCAGCCAAGCCACACAGAGAGACAACTTCCTAGTGACACGCTGTGAACTCCTGCATCCACCCCTGCCTGAACTGGAGCTTTTCCTCTTCAGCTCTTCAGTTATGTGAGGCAAGATGTTGCCTTTTTTGCTTAATGCTGTGAGTTGAGTGTACAGCAGTTACAATCAAAGAATCCTAAATAATGCTGCAAGCATGGTGACTATCTACATGGGAATATGCAGTACTCCAGTGAAGACAAAACATAAATTAATTTTGGAATCTGATGACCATAATCTAAAAACATTCATAGAGGTATATAAAAATTATAACAAAATTTAAAGTAGCATATCTCCTCATGAAGCAGGTTAAGTGTATACACAAAGAAGGAGGAGGAAAAGGTGAGAAAGAATCTGCCCTTGTGGGGAAGTGACAGAGGCAGAAGAGGCTGATGCAGTCCTGCATCCAGGCCCAGCTCTGCCAGCAGCTGAGTACCCCTGAACAAGCTCCCCCACCTCTTCGGGCCTCACTTTCCCCATCTATGAAAGAAAGGGAGTCTAGCTTCCATAGCTGCCCCAGCTGATACGCAAGGTGCCAGTGTGTCCTCAGTCCTGTCAGGAGAAACCTTCCCCACTAGAATCCCAGGAGGAGCTTGAAATCCTGTCTGGGATCCTGACGGCCCAGGTGCTGACCCTGCCTCGGGTTGTGTCTGCTAAGAAGTCTGATTTCTGCTCATCTCTCCCCATTTCTTTCTTCCCATAAAGTGGGCTGATGCGCTGGAACGTCGATGCAGCCAGTGATGTGTTTGATGAGAATGTATTGAGAGTAAAGCTGCCCAGAATCCAAGTGTGTGTCATCTGAACTCTTGAATCATGGATGGAAGGTATGTCCTCTGTTGATGTCTCGCAGCCTGAGCTGACAATCTGTAAGAAGGTTTTGTTATCTTCATGTTACAGATGGTGAACCGAAACTTACAGAGCTCAAGTCACTTGACCAGGCTCCACCCCTACAAGAGGCAGCACGCAAACTAAAAACCAGGCGGCCTTTTCCAAAGCTTGTGCTCTGCTCCACTGCTGGAAGGAACCCTTCGGGGAATTGAAGCAGCACTGAACAAAGGCCATTTTTAAGAAGCGACACCAGAAACCTAAGGCGGGGTCCCCGGCTCAACAAGGATCTCATGTTTTGTGGGTCAGAGATTCTTGTGTCGTGTCTGGGTGAGGTCAAAAACCATGCAGAGACTTTCACTTCCTGTTCTGTGGCAGACAAGACATCTGAAAAGCTCTCCTGCAGCAACACTTCTAGATGCCAAGTAAATCACAGCAAGTGCACTTTTAAATGTGTTACTAAGATCATAAAAATGAAGGAAAATGCCCAAGCATATCCCCAACCCCTCACCCCACAACCACCACCACCACAATAAACAAGTTGCTGACAGTGGATTGGCAAGCGAGAGTGGAACCTTAGGCTGCGTTGGCATCAAATACTAATAACCAAGCAAAAGGGAGCAAGACCAGGCCTGGGGGCTGTGCCATTGAGAGGTGACCGCGTGCTGGCAGTCCTCACAGCCCTCGTTCGCTCTCGGCGCCTGCTCTGCCTGGGCTCCCACTTCGGCGGCACTTGAGGAGCCCTTCAGCCCGCCGCTGCACTGTGGGAGCCCCTTTCTGGGCTGGCCAAGGCCGGAGCCGGCTCCCTCAGCTTGCAGGGAGGTGTGCAGAGAGAGGCGCGAGCGGGAACCGGGGCTGCGCGCGACGCTTGCGGGGCAGCTGGAGTTCCGGGTGGGCGTGGGCTTGGCGGGCCCCGCACTCAGAGCAGCCGGGCGGCCCTGTCGGCCCCGGGCAATAAGGGCTTAGCACCCGGGCCAGCGGCTGCGGAGGATGTACTGGGTCCCCCAGCAGTGCCAGCCCACGGGCGCTGCGCTCGATTTCTCGCCGGGCTTTAGCTGCCTTCCCGCGGGGCAGGGCTCGGGACCTGCAGCCCGCCATGCCTGAGCCTCCCCCACTCTCCGTGAGCTACTGGGCAGCCCAAGCCTCCCCCAAGAGCGCCGCCTCCTGCTCCAGGCGCCCAGTCCCATCAACCACCCAAGGGCTGAGAAGTGCAGGCACAGGGCGCGGGACTGGCAGGCAGCTCCACCTGGGTGAAGCCAGCTGGGCTCCTGAGTGTGGTGGGGACGTGGAGAACCTTTATGTCTAGCTCAGGGATTGTAAACACACCAATTGGCACTCTGTATCTACCTCAAAGTTTGTAAACACACCAATCAGCACCCTGTGTCTAGCTCAGGGTTTGTGAATGCACCAATCCACACTCTGTATCTAGCTATTCTGGTGGGGCCTTGGAGAACCTTTATGTCTAGCTCAGGGATTGTAAACGCACCAATCAGCACCCTGTCAAAACAGACCACTTGGCTCTACCAATCAGCAGGATGTGGGTGGGGCCAGATAAGAGTATAAAAGCAGGCTGCCCTAGCCAGCAATAGCAACGAAGTCGGATTTGTTTCCATGCTGTGACGGTTTTGTTTTTTTGCTTATTGTAATAGCTTTTGCTGTTGTACTCTTTTCTGGTCTACACTGCGTTTATGAGTTGTAACAGTCGTCACAAAGGCCTGCAGCTTTCACTTTCTGCCTCAGCCAGCGAGACTGCAAACCCACCAAAAAAAAAACTTAACTGTCACACCCACCCTAAGGGTCTGCAGCTGGGTTTTTGAAATCAGACCAAGAACCCACCAATTCAGAACCCACCAATTCGGGACACACCATGTGGGCAGCTGAATCAAGACTTTGTGGAGGAGCTCCAAAGTGGGTAGAAAAGTACGTTCACCCTTACAGGGAGACTGGCAGGCAGCCTTTTTCCTTCTCGGTAGAAAAATAAACTCCTGTTCCATAGAGTTTGGATTTGGAATTTATTGTATCCACAACCAGCAGTCAGCAAAATACAAAATGATCCCAAGTGATAAAAACCTTAAGTATAGTAAGTAATTTAAGTAAACATAAATTCTCTCTGGAGAAAACCATGATCTCATGGCTATTAAGATTCCCATTGATTAAGATGAGTGTAATATATGCTCTCCAGAATTATCAAACACATGAGGAAACAAAACATGATTGGAAATAAAAACAACAAGCAATAGATTTAATCACCCACAGTCTTCAAATATTGGCATTACGGGATATGTAACACAAAATAATCATGTATAAAATGTTTAAAGAAAGACATTCAAAAGTGACCAGATTTGAAACACAAAAGAACGTTTAGAATTAAAATACATGAAAGACTGAGTAAATTAAACATAGATTAGCGGCCAGGCACGGTGGCTTACACCTGTGATCCCAGCATTTTGGAAAGCCAAAGTGGGAGGATGGCTTGAGAACAGAAGTTTGAGACCAGTGTGGGCAACACAGCAAGACCTCATCTCTACAAAAAATAAAAATAATTAGCTGTGTGTGACAGTGCTCGCCTGTAGTCCCATCTACTCGGAAGGGTGAGGTGGGAGGATCCCTTGAGCCCAGGAGTTAAAGGCTGCGGTGAGCTATGATTGCACTGTACTCCAGCCTGGGTGACAGAATGAGACCATGTCTCAAAAGTAAATAAATAACAATATAGCCTAATTTATAGGGTTAAAAAGCAGATAAAATTATAATCCTGGGCAAAAATAATATATAGAGGGTATAATCCAAATAAAAACAGTTCTTTTTTCAGGGAGGGGGATAAAGCTAATGATTTAGATTTTTAAGTGATATATGTATATTCAAGTTTCTAGGATAAGTATTAAAATAATAGAAATTGAGGTCAAATTAGTAGAGGGGGAAAATGGAATAAGAAAAAACGCTATCATCCAAAAGAAGATAAGAGTGGAGGAAAAAAGTCAACAGTAAAAGAAGGACAAATTGAGGTGCAAAATACAATGGTGGAAAAAAAATCCTAATATACCTGTAATCATAAAAAAGGTAAATAGAAAAAAATGTCAGTTAAAAGAGTCTAGCTAGATAAAAAGCTTAAATTTAGCTACCTTCAGTTTACAGGAGATATATCTAAGCCATCAACACAAAATGTTAAGGGTAAAAGGACGGAAAAAGATTTACCATGCAAATACTCAAAAGCAGGTAGGATCGTTGTATGAATATCAAGCAAAAATAGACATTAGAGCAAAAATCATGATTAGGAATAAAGAAGGTCTCTGTGTAATGATGAACCCATCAATTCAATATGAAGTTACACCAATTCCAAACTTGGTATGTGTCTAATAAACAGCTTCGAAGTATATAAAGCAAACACTGAATTATGAAAAGAAATGGAAAAATCCACTATCAGAGTGGGAGACGTCAGGACACATCTCTTAGTAAGTGGTAGTCAAACAGATGCCATTAAAATAATAAATATTGGCCAGGCGCGTGGCTTACGCCTGTAATCCCATCACTTTGGGAGGCTAAGGTGGGCGGATCACCTGAGGTTGGGAGTTCGAGACCAGCCTGACCAACATGGAGAAACCCCATCTCTACTGAAAATACAAAATTAGCCTGGCGTGGTGGTGCATGCCTGTAATCCCAGCTACTCAGGAGACTGAGGCAGGAGAATTGTTTGAACCTGGGAGGCAGAGGTTTCAGTGAGCCGAGATCGCGCCATTGCACTCCAGCCTGGGCAACAAGAGCGAAACTCCCTCTAAAAAAATTTTTGAACAAAATTGATCTCATAGGTATAAAAAAATCACTGCACCCAGCAATGTAGACAATACCAGGTGTTAGTGAAACTGTGGGTCAACAGTTGAATTCATACTCTGCTGGTGGGTAGTGTCCATTAGTACATCGTTCAAAAATTCACTGTAAAATTGAGCATTTACACATCTCACTATACTAACCAATTAGCAAATAATTAACTACAGGTCCACACATCAAGATGTGTATATTTCATAATTATAAAGTTGAGTGAAAAATACAGGTTATAGATATCACTCAGTCCAAGTATAAAAACATACCAAATAAAAAATCACCTGCCAAATTCATGTGGAAAAGCATAATTAAATATTCAGGATAGTAATGTGATGGGAGGGGGCACACAGGTGTTTGAAGGTATTTTTAATGATCTGTGTCTTCAGCTAAATGGTGAGAACTCAAGTATTCATTTCACTGTCATGTATAAGTCAATTTCTATACAGTTTACTTTTATACATGTGAAATAGTTTGTGATAAGAAAGAGTAATATAAAATAAATCTGGATGCATATTGTGTTAAAAATCCTCTTGGCCAGGCACAGTGGCTCACACTTGTAATCCTACCACTTTGGGAGGCTGAGGTAGGGGAATTGCTTGAGCCCAGGAGTTGGAAACTAGCCTGGGCACCATAGTGAGACCCTATCTCTACAAAGTATTTTTTTTAAAGTTAGCTGAGCATAGTAGTACATGCCTGTGGTCCCAGCTACTCGAGAGGCTGAGGTGGGAGGATCACTTGAGCCCAGAAGGTTGAGGCTGCTGTGAGCCATGATCACACTACTGCACTCCAGCCTGGGTGATAGAACAAGAACCTGTCTCAAAACAAAACACCACTTGTTCCCCCGCCAACACCAAAACTTCTTGAGGCCTACCACCGAGGCAGGGCATGTTGCTTTGGGGACAATAGCTGAGTCAATGGCACCTTCAGAGTCCACACGGAGGTCTCCTTGGGAGTGTGAGCCCTGAACACTCAAGGGCATGTCCACCCTAGTGGACACATGTCCATGAGCCTGTGCAGGATGTAAACTCAACAGTGACCCCAGAATGGCAGGGTCAAAGCCCCCATGCTAGAGGATAAATCAGACTTTGCTATTATCTCACCTCTCAAGGTTTGAAAGAAAACACTCAGCATTCTTGTGCTATTAAGGGTGGAAGGGCGGCTATTAAGGGCATTTAGGGACCGATGAGATGAACTGGATTTTGTTTTTGTTTTGAGGCAGGGTTTCACTCTCGCCCAGGCTGGAGTGCAGTGGCACGATCATGGCTCACTGCAGCCTCGACCTCCCAGGATTTCCCACTCCTGTGCAGCAGAGGATGCCAGGTGCACTTGATGTCGGGCTGGCTGTCACGAATATGCCCTTGAGCTGCACAGGCTGCAGGTGGCAGCAGGGCCCTGGGACAACCTCACAGACCCGCCCCACTGACGCTGGCTCCTAGAGAGGTGGTTGCTGGCCGATCTATCAGGGGCTTCTCCTTTTTGCCATATTCAGATTGGAGCCATAAATTAAATTCTCAGGAGAAAAAATTAAGCTACTTTTAGAAGTCATGAAACATGGGCTTTGGGGATCAGGATTAAAAACTTTAACAATAACATTGCTTAATTCTCAACTCCTATTCTTGGTAGGATGAACTGAAACCAGTGATTTTACCATTATGTACAATATTTTTTCTTTTGAAGGGCCTGAACAGACGGTTCCAAATCCAGGCTGTATCATTATAATCACAGTTTCCCTGGCTCACACTTCAGCGTTTTGCCTTTCATGCATCTCTCTCTGGCACAGAAGCTATTTGCCCATTTGTCTTCCAGAAAGACGAGAAGTCTTATAGGGATTTCTGAAATGAGAATGCGCCACACTAGGGGTGGGTGAGGTGCCCACATAATCGAAGCCGTGAGACATTGCCACTGCCAGATTTCTCCCCATTACCTGTATCACCACCCAAAGAGGATGGGTCTCAGGCTCCCAGGATCTTTGGCCATTCTTTCTGCTTTGTATTAGGTATCAAATTCCCTTGTGCTTGGAGGAGAAGAAAACCTAAACATTCTTATGATCAGATTGATATTTGTCAGGGTAGGACCATGGCTAAGAGCAAAAGTCAGTGCCCTGGTGAATTCAACATGCAGCATGAACTATTATTATTCTCAGAAGGACAAGGCTAAAACCTCTCACCTAGAATAGCCACATTATATCAGACTTTTCATAAAGTTTAGTTATTTCATTTGGAGAGGGCATAGATTTATTCCATCTTATTTTCCAAGACTGTGTATTGTAAAATTAGACGAAAGTAAACCTTATAAGTTATCCCTTAAAATAGTGTAAAATGATCACCATTTTAAGAGTATGTACTAAAAGTCTTACTTTTCAGCTTTGACTACAGTGATGCATTTGCTAATGGTTTTCTTCTTCCTTGAATTATGACTAAGAGGAATTTTTTCCCCATGAGGTTCTTTCACTGCTCGTGACTTAGGTAAGAAAGTGGTCATCATCTACGTGCATCCTTGAAGAACATGGGTGTGGGTGAACTGAGCAGGCAGGGCTGCACAGTCACTGTGTCTGATTTACATGCCATGGACTTTGAGCCAAGGGCCACAAGGAAAGACATCGCTTGTGAGTTACTGGATTAATTAATGTCTTAGTCTCTTCTTTAAGGATTCCCTTTCTTTCTTCTTAAGAAACTGTCCCACTATGACCACATATTGAACGGCATAACAAGGGCCAGGAATAGGGGTTTAGAGAAAGGAACTAATGGTACTCCTTAACATTTCCAAAATATAAACATACACCCATAGTTCAAGTGCAGACAAATGAATGCCCTCAGTCACTACTCAGGAGGTACCTCCCAAGCTTATGCGCTTGAGATGCATTTTCATCATTACTAGAATATAACAACCTTGGCCAGGTGTGGTGGCACACACTTCTAATCGTAGCACTTTGGGAGGCCAAGGCAGGAGGATTGCTTTAGCCCAGGAGTTCAAAACCCACCTGGGCAACACAGTGAGACCCAGTCTCTAGTTTAAAAAAAAGAAAGAAACAACTTCATTTGTCTCCAAATTTTGCATTGGTCGTATTTGCCTTTCTCAATATTTTCCGAATGTCAAGTATAGATTTCTTAATAGAGTGTCCTAGTCAGTTCTAGCTGCTATAACAAAATACCATAGACTGGTGGCTTATCAACAACAGAAATTAATTTCTTACAGTTCTGGATGGTGAAAGTCCAAGATCAGGGTGCCAACACAGTCCGGTCCTGGTGAGGGCCCTCTTCCAGACTACATGCTGCCAACTGCTCGTTGTATCTCACATGGTGGAAATAGGGTGAGAGATTTCTCTGAACAGCTGGGACTACAGGCATGCACCATCACGCCTGGCAAATATTATTTTTTATTTTTTGTGGAAGTGGGATCTGGTCTCTCTGTGTTGCTCAGGCTGGTCTTAAAACTCCTGGGCTCAAGCGATCCTTCTGCCTTGGCCTCTCAAAGTGCTGGGATTACAGGGGAGAGCCACCATGCCTGGCCACTTAAAATTGTTGAATTTTATCATATGTAAATTATTCCCTGTAGTGGGATGAATTGTATCCCCCTCAAAAGGCATGTGCAAGACTTAACCTTTGGTACCTGAGAATGTGATCGTATTTGGAAACAAGGTCTTTGCAGGCATAAGTAAGTTAAGGATCTCAAGATGAGACAATCCTGAATCTAGGGTGGACCCTAAACCCAGTAGCTGTGTTGTTATAAGAGAAAGCAGAGAGAGATTTGAGACCCAGAGAAGCCTCCGAGGGGAAGGCCATGTGAGGCTGGAGGCAGAGACTATAGTGAGGCTGCTGCAAGCCAAGGGCACCGATGATTACCTACGCCCACTAGGAACCAGGAGAGAGGTATGGAACAGATCTACCCTCACAGTCTCCAAAGGGAACCAGTCTTGTCGACATCTTGACTTCAGACTTCTGGCCAGATCTATGAGACAATGAAATTCCATCATTAAAAAAAAAAAAAACAGAAAAAACAAAAACAAAACCAAAAATACCCTCCAATGATCCATTACAAATATTCTAGAAACCAGGAGAAAGGAGAAAGTCTCAGTAAAGAAATCGAAGATATAAAAAAGAAACAGGCCAGGCACGATAGCTCACGCATCTAATCCTAGCACTTTGGGAGACCAAGGTGGGAGGATCACTTGAGACCAGGAGTTCGAGACCAGCCTAGGTAACATAGTGAGAACCCATCTCTACGAAAAATAAAAAAAAAATTAGGTGGGTGTGGTGGCACGTGCTTGTATTCATAGCTACTTAGGAGGCTGAAGCAGGAGGATTGCTTGAGCCCAGAAGTACAAGGCTGCAGTGAGCTGGGATCACGTCACTGCGCTCCAGCCTGAGTGTCACAGTTATACTGTCTCGAAAATAAAAAAACAAAAAGAAGCAAATGGAAATTTTACAACTGAAAAATACAATAACCAAAATACAATCTCAAACTCCAAACAACATAAACTGACAGAAATACACATCCAGATATATCATAGCAAAACACATGAAAATAAGGATAAAGAAAAACTCTTGAAAGCAGGCAAAGAAAAAATATATATATTACCCATAGGGGAACAACAATTCAAATGGCTGCAGATTTCTCATTAGAAACCATTTATCTCAGCAATACAGAGAACTAGAGATGGAAAATCATCAAGGAGATGACATTCCATCACTGGTATGGTTGGGATGTGTGTCCCCTACGAATCTCATGTTAAAACGTGACCTCCAATGTTGGAGACAGGCCTAGTGGGAGGTGTTTGGGACGTGGGGGCAGATCCCTCATGCATGGCTTGGTGCCGTTCCCTTGGTGATGAGTGAGTTCTCACTCTATTATCTAGTTGAAACAGCTTATCTATTATCCAGTTCACATGACAGCTGATTGTTTAAAAGAGCCTGACACCTCCTCCCTTCTATCTCTCTCTCTCCCTCTCTCACCATGTGATAAGCTGGCTCGTCTTGCCTTATGCCATGATTAGAAGCTTCCTGAGGCCTCCCCAGAAGCCAAGCAGATGCTGGTGTTGTGCCTGTACAGCCTGCAGAACCATGAGCCACATAAACATCTTTTCTTTATAAATTACCCAGCCTCAGGTATTCCTTTATAACAATGCAAAACAGGCTAACACAATCATTAATCAACTAGATCCAATGAACATGTATATTACGCTCCATCCAACAATGACAGAAAACACATTCTTTTCAAGCACACCTGGAACATTCACCAAGATAGATCATACCCTGCAGCTTAACAAATTTGGAAAAATTGGAATCATACAAAATATGTTATTACCATAATAGAATTAAACTATAAATCAATAAAAGGAAGACAATAGAAAAAACACCAAACACTTGGAAATTAAACATACTTATAAGTGACCCATGGGTCAAAGAAGTCTTCAGAGAGATTAGAAGTATTTTTAACTGAGTGAAAATGAAAATACAACATATGAAAATATGTAAGATGCAACTAAAGTAGTCCTTAGAGGGAAATTCACAGCATTAAAATGCTTACATTAGAAAAGGGGGTCTTGAATCAATAATACCAGCCTACACCTTAAGAAATAAAAAAAGAGTGAAACGTACCCAACACGAGCAGAAGGAAGGAAATCATAAACAGGAGTAGAAATCCATACAATTGAAAATAGCAAACAGTAGGGAAAATGAAATGAAAACAAAAGCTGATTCTTTGAAAAGGTCCATGAAACTGATAAATCTCTGTAAAGATTGATCAAGCAAAAACGAAGACACAAATTACCGACATTAGAAATTGAAGGTGGGAGATCACTACAGACCTGCAGACATTCAAAATCTAATAAGCTAACAAAAGAATACTGTGGAGTCCTAATTAGAGAAAGGGAGTCAGGCTGGCAGGTCCAAGGGAAAGCAAAAAGAGAAAGCAGGTAAGTTACAAGTCTGCCTTTCTTCATGGTCCAGAACGCATCGCCCTTCCGCACAAATAACTCACAATCCTGCACCCAGCTAGACACCTGCAAGTTAGCTCCGTGCAGTCTTGGCTTTATCAGTACTGCACAAAGCCCTCTTCGGCATAAACACTACCCTATACAATCTCCACAAGCCTTTGTTTCTTTGTAGTCAGCCTCCACTGACTTGCCCATTGTCTCCCTGGCAAAGTATTTTCCTACTTTATCTAATAAATCTGCCATTCTTTACCTACAACTGTCTTGGTAAATTCTTACACTCCCACACCACTGGCCCAGATAGTCACCACTCACCCATGACATTTCTGGGTCCTTCTGGGATCTCTCCGTACAGGGGAACACTCTCCTCATGGGGAATTCTCTTGCCTCTCTCTTTCTCTTTCCCAACTCGGGAACCTCGGTGGACAGCGTCTAAGCACAGAGACAGTTGCAGGTCTCCGGCTGGGGCTATACTCCCGTGGGACTGAAAGGTGCTTGTGTGGAAACGTCTGACCGCCACTGCCCAGGTCAGGTGAGGGACCTAAGTCCTTTTCTCTTTTCGTCTGTCGGCTGCCGTTTCTTAATAGTTCTTTGGTAATTGAGGGTAACTGGCAAGGGCCACTGTCCAGCATTGCCTGAAGGCCAAAGAGTGAATGGGGTCAGCTGCCCTGCCCGGAAGGGGAAAAGGCTCGCCTCTCTTTTCTGATTGTAGTCCCTACGTGTGCTGCAATTGACATGGAAGCCCATTCAGGGCAAATTCACACACGTTTCGGGTGGCTCAGACCCTCTGTCTCAGTCCAAATTCTAGGGAGTCACCCAGCCGTCCTGTTCCAGATGTTGCCAAATTAGGTAATTTCAGACAGCCTCAGAATAGTGAGTCTTCCCCTCCCCGTTCCCTTTCCTGGGCTGGCACCCGTGGAGATCTTCTTGTACCCTTCCTTCCTCATACAATACCCAAAATACAATCTCAAACTCCAAACATGGTTGATCACCCAGTGTGAGTGAGAACCTGGACTGGCTGTCCACCCGTAGGGCCCCCTGGATGATCTTTACTAATAGGTGGGATGCCCCTTTATACAGTGCACCCCAAGTCCCTCAGCAGACATATGTGGAACTTGGCAAACATCTCGGCATTCATCTTGGCAGGATGCCCCAAGCAGAAGTGTGGTTCGTGACCCTGACTGGCACTGCCCCCGAGGGGTGTGCTTTCCAGTTCCGCCATGGAACAAACCCCGTCTATTCCTTCAGACTCACTGATAGGCTGCATCCTAAAGCAATAAGACAAATTTAACCCTCAGACTCTCAAAAAAAGAAATATCTAATTTTCTTTTGTAACACAGCATGGCCCCTATGAAGGAAATCCTCAGATTAACCTCCTCAGTCTTTATAATCGAAAGCAAATTAAGGAAAACAGGGCTAAGGAAAAGAAAAAAACAAAATGCAGGGACAAGAGGCAGGTCCAATGGTTGGCTGCTTTACAAGCCCCCAGCTTCTCCAGGTTTCCCTAAGGACACTCCTCCAAATAACTGCCATCTGTGCAAAAGCCCAGGCCACTAAAAGGCAACTTACCCAATAAAATAAATGGGGAAAAGCTGTACACAGCTTATCCACTCTGCCACAAGCTTAGCCACTGGAAACAGGATTGCCCTGAAAGCTGAAGGAGCCCCAGAACAAAAATTCAACCCCCAGTGGCCTTAATCTAAAGGGGCTCTCTGCTCCAGCTGAAAACAGCTCAACTTAACTAGTAACTTGTGGAGGTGGGAAACATTTGTTCCACATTCTGTGGGTCTGAAGTGCTAAAGCTTTCTGTGATGGGAGATAAAGTGGAAAAGAGTGCTAGCTCCACACCATGCAGTAGCTGGGAGGCTCACAAGCCCTCCTGTAAAGCTGAACCCTTGCCTCTCCACTCTTTCTTTTCCTTTTCTCTTTATCTGTTCAATCCAAAGATCCAGCCTTAAAAGGGAAAGACAATTTCTAACATCCTAATCTTTGATTTTGTTGTTCTCTTTAACACTCCAGCTGCTTGCATATTATGGCCTGTTTTCATGTACATTTTAAACTTATGGGCAAGTTGCAACAAGAAAAATTCAGAGCTCAAATGGTTAACCTGCCTTATAGAGTTAAATAAAGTTTTCTAAAGCTCTTTATTGTCCTCTTTTTTCTATCTGCCTTGGATCAAGGTGGTTTTATAATCACCTGTAGAACTCTAACAGGTGCTCTTTATTATTATTATTATTATACTTTAAGTTTTAGGGTACATGTGCACAACGTGCAGGTTTGTTATATATGTATACATGTGCCATGTTGGTGTGCTGCACCATTAACTCGTCATTTAGCATTAGGTATATCTCCTAATGCCATCCCTCCCCCCTCCCCCCACCCCACAACAGTCCCCAGAGTGTGATGTTCCCCTTCTTGTGTCCATGTGTTCTCATTGTTCAATTCCAACCTCTAACAGGTGCTCTCGAGTGCAGGTTTCTAATAACTTTGGAAATTGTAACATTAGAATAAAGAAAAAACTTCCCAGACTCTCATTAAAAGCTAATGTGTTCATAAATATCGAGCAGAACAGAAGTTAATTACATAAACTAAACTAATGGAAAACTAAAATAATCTCTTTGTAGCTTTCTGTTTAAAACATTGTTAACTCTTTTGCTTTTCAAAGTCCATAAAAACTTTTCTCTTTTAAGCTATTTACAGCCTTTAACAATTGGCTAAAGTATAATCTTGTAACCAAAATTTAAAGCATATCTTACTCTCTACCTGATTTCTCCAGAATGTAAAAGCTATTTGCAAATATACTTAATTTATGGTACTATAGTTATTTGCATATATTCATTCAAAATCTATTTTCTGGCTGTGTGTCTTGGCCCATTTTCTGGCTGTGTGCCATGGCTCATGCCATCACGGATACTATAGTTATTTGCTTATATTCATTCAAAATCTATTTTCTGGCTGTGTGCCATGGCCAATTTTCTGGCTGTGTGAAAATCTATTTTCTGTTTTCTGGCTGTGTGCCATGGCTCACGCCTGTAATCCCAGCACTCAGGCAGGTGGATTGTTTGAGCTTAGGTGTTTGAGACCAGTCTGGGCAATGTGGCAAAATCCTGTCTCTATAAAAAACACAAAAAATTAACTCGGTATGGTGGCACATGCCTGTAGTCCCAGCTACTTGGGGGGCTGGGGCAGGAAGATTGCTTCAACCTGGGTGGTCGAGGCTGCAGTGAGTTGATATTGTGCCATTGCACTCCAGCCTGGGTGACAAAGGAGACCCTGTCTCAAAAAAAAAAAAAAGGAAAAAAAATCTGTTTTCTTTTGTAACAGGACACAATTGGAGACACTGGTTATTTTACCAAGCTTTAACTGGAATGGCATGCTTTTTTGGGGGGGCGGAATCAAAGTTAACTTATAAAGCCAATAAAAGTTCCTTGGGAAAGCTGGCCTCATACCTTATCTACACAGTCCCTGTGCAGGGTTCCTAACCTGTGATAACTAAAGAATGTCACTTTCTAACAGGCCCAGGAGCCCCAAGTTATCTTGGGACCTCAAGAGGAAAAGAATTTACCCAACTCTTACAGGTATTTAATGGCACAAACCCATAACTGGCCTTAAGGCATTAAATTCAAATCTGAGATTCTCTATGGAATAAAGTTTCAGCAAAACCAAATTTAAAAAGTAGAAGAGTCTATATGCAAAATAATTATTCTTGCTAACTTTATGCAAATACTCAAGCCAAGTTTAATAAGGCTAAAACTTATTTTACCAATAGATTTGTTCTATTATAATTTGTTCTTAGTAAACTGGAAAGAAAAATTATGTTTCAGAAAAGCTGTAGTACATCTGTCATCAAATTCTAGTCTTGTTCACTGCTTTAAAGTTTTTTATTATTTTCCACAATTTTAACTAAATCCTGAATTCTTTCTGGGCTATAAGTTCCCAATGCATTCAACATTTTTTTCCTTTTATTTTTCTAATTTAAACTCAATGGAGTTCGCCCGGGCGCGGTGGCTCACGCCTGTAATCCCAGCACTTTGGGAGGCCGAGGCGGGTGGATCACGAGGTCAGGAGATCGAGACCACGGTGAAACCCCGTCTCTACTAAAAATACAAAAAAAATTAGCCGGGCGCAGTGGCGGGCGCTTGTAGTCACAGCTACTCAGGAGGCTGAGGCAGAAGAATGGCGTGAACCCGGGAGGCAGAGCTTGCAGTGAGCCGAGATCGCACCACTGCACTCCAGCCTGGGTGACAGAGCAAGACTCCGTCTCAAAAAAAAAAAAAAAGAAAAGAAAAAAATAAACTCAATGGAGTTGCTATTACCTCTTTCCTAAGGTCCTGCAAACTAAAGTCCATTCTTTAAAATACAAGCAAAGAAAGAAAAGGGTCAGATTGCCACTGCCTTCCTCCTCTATAACTAAAAATGCTTTAACATCTGGATAAATTGTGCCCAATGTTAATCTTTGTTTTTTTTTTTTTCTGTTTCCATAAAAATGCCTCATTAAAAATTTGTTTGTCTTCATCATATGCAGAGGCTTGTAAGGCACACCTCTACATCACAAACTCCAAGGGGTCTGGCCTTGTCCTAGGGGCTTTAATTCGAGCCCATTGCAATTACACCCTCAATTATAACCAAACACACCAGGAATGGGAGACAAGTTCACTGTTTACCTCCACAGGTTTTTTCTGTGGTGGGGAAACAATAAAGTTAATGCCAGCAAAATGTGTAGTAATTCTTTCATGCCTATAAATAGTTCAGCAACTGGAATGGAATATGTAGAAATAAAGGTCAAAAGTAAACTAACTCCTCACTAGTACATCTACAAACTTTTCCTTGATTTTCTCTTATTGAATTAACATTTAGAAATCTTATCTCTCAGGCCCCACTTCTGTCACCTATAATAATGCTTATATTAGCTTATTCGCATTACGTATTATTAATGCAATATCTTGTTTTGTGTCTTCTAACACAACAATTTCAAATTTTGTGAACACAACCATTTCAAACTAAAATGTCACTGCAGTGAAGGTATCAGCCACTAAAAGAACTCCATGACTCTCCTTTGGATACAGCAGGACAAAATTTTAGGCTACAAATGCTGCCCCCAACCCCATGGTTACACAATGACTCTGCCCAATTAACTCCCAAGCCAAGGATTTAGGCCTTTGTAATTTCCTGACAGAGTAACAGGATTAGGTAGGGCCGGTTCGGTGCCCCTGGTCAGCAGGAAGCAGTTGGAAGATGAGATCTTTGTCCACATACCAAAGATTTGTTATTGTTGCTCTGTTAGTGGGGAAATGTGGAGCCCTAACTAGGGAAAGGGAGTCAAGCTTGCAGGACCAAGGGAAAGCAAAAAGAGAAAGCAGATAAGCTACAAGTCTGCCTTTCTCATGGTCTGGGATACATAGCCCTCCTGTGCAAATAATTCAGTCTTCCTGCACCTAGCTATCACAGAACACCTGCAAGTTAACTCACTGCAATCTTGGTATTATCAGTACTACACAAAGCCCTCTTCAGCATAAGCACTGCCCTACAAAATCTCCACAAGTCTTTGTTTCTTTGCAGTCAGCTTCTGCTGACTTGTCCATTGTCTCTCTGGCAATGTATTTTCCTACTTTCTCTAATAAATCTGCCTTTCTTTATCAACAACTCTCTTGGTAAATTATTATTATTTTTTTGTGAGATGGAGTTTTGCTGTTGTTGCCCAGGCTGGAGTGCAATGGTGCAATCTCGGCTCACTGCAACCTCTGCCTCCTGCGTTCAAGTGATTCTCCTGCCTCAGCCTCCCGAGTAGCTGAGATTATAGGCGTGCGTCACCACGCCTGGCTAATTTTGTATTTTTAGTAGAGATGGGGTTTCTTCATGTTGGTCAGGCTGGTCTTGAACTCCCGACCTCAGGTTATCTGCCCGCCTCGGCCTCCCAAAGTGCCGGGATTACAGGCGTGAACCACTGCGCCTGGCCTGTCTTGGTAAATTCTTATACACCCCACACCACTGTCCTAGATAGTTGTTGCTCCCCGCAACAAATACCGTGAGTATCTCTATGCACATACACTTTAGACGAGATGAACCAATTCCTAGAAAACTACAAACTGCTAAAACACGCCCAAGATGAAATAGACATAATAAAATAATCCTATGACTATTGAAGAAATCAAATGTATAGTTAAAAGCCTTCTAAAAAGAAATCTCCAGGCCCATATGATTTTACTGATGAATTCTACCAACTATTTAAATGAGAAGAAAACATCAATCCTATACAATCTCTTCCAGAAAATAGAAAAGGGACACTTTCCAACTCATTTTATGAGGCTTTTATTACTATTATAACAAAAACAAATACAAAAAAGAAAATTATAGACCACTGTACCTATATCATTATGTGTTTTTGAATACAAAGAAATCCTCAACAAAACATTTGCAAATCAGCAATGTATAAACAGAATAGTACAGCATGGCATAATGGTATTTATTATATGAGCAATGTATGAAAAGAATAGTATAGGCCAGACACAGTGGCTCATGCTGGTAATCTCGGCACCTTGGGAGGCTGAGGAGGGTGGATCACTTAAGGCCAGGAGTTCAAAACTAGCCTGGCCAACATGGCGAAACCCCGTCTCTATTAAAAATACAAAAATTAGCCAGACGTGGTGGCGCATGCCTGTAATTCCAGCTACTCAGAAGGCTGAGGCAGGAGAATCGCTTGAGCCCGGGAGGCAGAGGTTGCAGTGGGCTGAGATCGCACCACCCCACTCCAGCCTGGGCAACAAGAGTAACAAGAGTGAGGCTCTTTCAAAAAAAAAAAGAGTAGTACAGCATGACATAATGTTTATTATACTAGCAATGTATACAAAGAATAGCACAGCAAGACATAATAATGTTTATTCCGGGAATGCAAGTAAGGTTCAATATTTGGATATCAACCAATGTAATCCACCATAGACTAGAAAAAAACCCACATGATCCTATTAATTAATGCAGAAAAAGCACTTGACCAAACTTAATGTTGTCCATTCATGGGGGAAAAGGAACCTCTTAGCAAGCTTGGAATAGAAAAAAAAGTCTTTTTTTTTTTTTTTTTTTTTGAGACAGAGTCTTGCTCTGTAGAGAAGGGGTTTCACCATTTTGGCCGGCTGGTCTTGAACTCCTGACCTCAGGTGATCCACCCGCCTCAACCTCCCAAAGTGCTGGGATTACAGGTGAGAACCACCATGTTGGGCCGAAAAAAAATGTTTTTAATTTGACAATAGACAACTAAATATCTACAGCTATCATTATGCTATTCTCATAAAATTAAGAATAGGCCAGGATGTCCATTCTCACCTAGTCAGTGCAATGAAAAGGAAAATTTACAAAAAGGCACACAAATTGGAAAGTAGGCAATAAAACTATCCCTATTTGCAGATTATATGGTTGTATATGTAGAAAATTTCAAGGAATATACAAAAGAAAAAACAAAACAAGGCTAGGCACGGTGGCTCACACCTGTAATCCCAGCATTTTGGGAGGCCTAGGTGGGTGGATCACCTGAGGTCAGGAGTTCGAGACCAGCCTGGCCAACATGGTGAAACCCCATCTCTACCAAAAATACAAAAATTAGCCCGGCGTGGTGGAGGGCGCCAGTAACCCCAGCTACTCAGGAGGCTGAGGCAAGAGAATAGCTTGAACCCAGAAGGCGGAGGTTGCAGTGAGCCAAGACTGCACCACTGCACTCCAGCCTGCGCAACAAGAGCAAAACTCAGTCTCAAAAAAAAAAAAAAAAAAAGAAAAGAAAAGAAAAGAAAAAAACCTTCTAGAACTAATAAGATGATATAGCAAGATACAAGGTCAATGTGTAAAGGTAAATTGTCTTTTTATATACCAGTAATGTAAAATTGGAACCCAAAATTAAAACAATAAAATTCACAGTAGATCCTCAAATAAAATAATCTCACAAAACATGTACATGCTCTCTATGCTGAAAACTAAAAATAGCTGATAAAAGACACCAAAGAAGGTCTAAATAAATGGAGAAAGACACCATGTTCATGAATTAGAAAAATCAATATTAAAAAGATGACAATCTTCCCAAATTTATATATACACTTAATACATTTGCAGTCAAAATCCCAGGGAATTTTTGGGAGACATAGACAGGTTGATTCAAAAAATTTATACAGAAAAGCAAAGAAGCTAGAATAGTTAGAACAATTTTGAAAAAGAAGAATAGATTGGATTTACCCTGCACAATTTTCAAATTTACTCTAAAGGTACTTTAATTAACAAACACAGTATGATATTGGCAAAGGAATAGATGCAAGATAAACAGTAGAGAGAGTAGAGTGAGAGGAATAGATCCACATACATATGGCCAATGGATTTTTAATCCTTTTTAAAATTAATACTCTATTATTATTATTACTATTATTATTATTCATGACAGGATCTCTGTTGCCCAGGCTGGACTGAAGTGGCACAATCATGGCTCACTGCAGGCTTGACTTCCTGGGCTCCAGTGATCCTCCCACCTTGGCCTCCCACAGCTGGTAGCACAGGTGTGCACCACCATGCCCGGCTAATTTTTTTATTTTTGGTAGAGATGGGGTTTTGCTATGTTGCCCAAGCTGGATTTGAATTCCTGAGCTCAAGCTATCCACCCACCTCAGCCTCCCAAAATGCTGGGATTACAGGCATGAGCCACTGTGAGTCTGTGCCTTACAAGAATTAATTTTTTTATAATAGTTTAGATTTCTAGAAAAATTAAGCAGAGCAGGGCAGCACAGGGTCACCATGGTGGAGCTGCAGCAGCTGCGGGTGCAGGAGGTGGTGGACTCCATGGTGAAGAGTCTGGAAAGGGAGAACATCTGGAAGACACAGGGTCTCATGTTCTGGTGCAGCGCCAGCTGTTGTGAGGACAGCCAGGCATTCACCCAGCAGGTGCACCAGTGCATCGAGTGCTGCCCTGTGCCTCTGGCTCAAGTCCAGGCCTTGGTCACCAGTGAGTTGGAGAAGTTCCAGGACCACCTGGCTCGGTGCACCATGCATTGCAATGACAAAGCCAAAGATTCAATAGATGCTGGGAGTAAGGAGCTTCAGGTGAAGCAGCAGCTGGACGGTTGTGTGACCAAGTGTGTGGATGACCACATCCACCTCATCTCAACTATGACCAAGAAGATGAAGGAGGCTGTCTTATCCATTGGGAAATAAAAGTCTTTGCCAGTGGCCAATGAGGGCAAGAATGTATTTTTTATAAGGAATTGGGAATTTTACTCTTTTAAGCAAAGTTTATGAATGAACAAATAAAGGATGGCCACAAGTGTAAGGCATACATCACTTACCTCTGGACACTGGTTCTTTTATGTTTCAGTCCTGAAAAGGGAAGTGGAAAAAAGTGTGCTAAATTGGGTCAGAGATATTACGGGAGAGTTTTAGAGCTTATTCTTCCTGTGGCCAGTGCTTGTCCTGGAAGTAAGGATCTCCTCTGTAACAAGCCAGAGCCCTCCAACATACCAGACTCTTCTTACTACACAGGTACCAACAGGCTGGCAGGCTAGAGTTGATGGAGTTTGAGGAGAGATATTTTCTCTTTGTTGCCAACATCCTGTTTGCCACAAGTGTCACTGCACCGTTTTCCATAAGCTGTGAAACAAAATCCATGAGGTCACTAACTCAGAAGGGAAAAAAGTTTTCTGGGTCTTTTTTTTTTTTTTTTTGGTTTTGTGTAATTTACACAAGGGCATACAAGTTGATTTTAAGATGTGCAATTGGGACGGAGATAGTTTGGATAAGAGCTTCAAAAAGTTCCTTGTGGATCCCCATTTTTGATCATCAACATTTGGATGTGTATTTCTGAAAATTATCACATGTTGCATCTTTCAGCCTGGAGACCATGCAAACACATGAGAAGCGATGACACACTCATTATGGGAAGCAGAGCTTCCCTCTTACTGGCTGATGGGCCCTGAGGCTGTGTGTAGCAAAATGACAGGGCAATCTTGCAGTAACATTTTCGCCTTGAAGAGAAGGGGGTTTTGATTGGGATATGTACTGATATCAATGAATGAACAGTAAAAGAGGAGCAGTTGGCTGCTTGATTATAAGAGAGTTATGAAGTACTGGGTTTGGAAAAACTTGCTTTTTATAGAATGGAATGGAATGAAAGCCTAAACCTAGCATTACTTAGCCCCCTGAATTAACAGAGCCCAATTGAGACAAACCCCTGTTGCTACTATAAACGGAATTATTTCATAATTTATGTGACTTGTTCATTTCACATGTGTAGAAACACAGCAGATTTTTGTGTGTTGATTTTGTATCCTACAATTTTTCTGAATTCATTTATTAGCCCTAGTAGTGTTCTTGTGGGTTCTTGGGGATTTCCTATATTAAGATCGTTTCATTTGGGAATAAGGATAGGCTTACTTCTTCCTTTGAAATTTGGATGCCTTTTATTTCTTCTTGTTTAACTGCTGTAGATAGAACTTTCAGTACAATGTTGAATAGTAGTGGGTAAAGTAGACATCTTTGTCTTGTGTCTGATCTTAGGGAGAAAGATTTGAGTCATTCACCATGGAGTATGGTTTTAGAGTGGGTTCTTCTTAAATGCAGTTTATCACAGGTTCCCTTCTATTTATCACAATTCCCTTCTATTCCTAATTTTCTATGTGTTTTTATCATGAAAGGGTGCTGGATTTTGTCAAATGCCTTTTCTACATCTATTGAGATGATCATGTATTTGGGGTTTTTTTTTGTTTTCCTAATGTCATATCTTCCAATAATTGATTTTCTTATCTTGAACCACTCTCGCATTCCTGGGCAAAATGTCACTTGCTCATGGTGTGTAATCCTTTTAATATATGTTGAATTTGGTTAAATCTGCCAGACAATAACACTTTGTACTCAATACTAAGAAGTACTAATGGACCGGGCACAGTGGCTCACACCTGTAATCCCAGCACTCTGGGAGGCTGAGGAGGGCGGATCACAAGGTCAGGAGATCAAGATCATCCTGGTCAACATGGTGAAACCCTGTCTCTACTAAAAATACAAAAATTAGCTGGGCGTGGTGGTGGGCGCCTGTAATCCCAGCTACTCGGGAGGCTGCAGCAGGAGAATCGCTTGAACCAGGGAGTTGGAGGTTGCAGTGATCACGCCACTGCACTCCAGCCTGGCAACACAGCAAGACTCTGTCTCAGAAAAAAAAAAAAAAAAAAAAAAAAAAAAAAAAAAAAAGATGTACTAATGAAGATTTTACATTTATCAGCATAAAGAGACTGAAATAACTCTCTTATCTGTACTTAGGAGTTTTTGGAGTTAGTTGTATCTCTCTCTTTTTTTTTTTTTTTTGGTAAACTGTGCCATTTTTCAGTAATCTGGTTTTAATTTCAGGTTTTAATTTTTTATTTTTTTGAGATGAGGTCACCCTGTTGCACAGGCTGGGGTGCAATGGCACAATCACAGCTCACTGCAGCCTTGAACTCCTGGGTTCAAGCGATCCTCCCACCTCAGCCTCCCAAGTAGCTAGGACTACAGGTGTGTGCCACCACTCCTGGCCAATTTTTATATTCTTTGTAGAGATGGGGGTCTTGCTTTGTTGCCCTGGCTAGTTGAACTCCTGGCCTCTAGTGATCCTCCTGCCTTGGCCTCCCAAAGTGCTGGAACTGCAGGCATGAGCCAGTACGCCCGACTGAGTGATGGATCTTAGTGAGCTCGGAGCTACCTCCAGGGCAGGCAGTGAGCTTGGTCCCCAAGAGCAAACAAAAGTGTCAGAAGCAGTGATCCTGCTGGACTCCCTGTTCCTGCTGTCCCCTCTTGGGAAGCACAACAGGACTCCCGATGGCCTCCTCTTCAGGCAGGCAGAATGCTGAGCTGTGATCTTTGTCTCTGCGCCACACCATTTACCTGACTCATGGTAATGTGTATTGCACGAATATAAATAGAACCAACTGGTTATGAGAATTTTTGAAATTAAAAAACATTTGAAAGGAGTTTGGGGCAGAGAGTCTATTTTTAAAATCTCTGCTTGTATCAGGCATTTTCTAGGTGTTTCACTGCTGTCCATAGGTTGGAGAGGGAATGAGAATTTGGGGGAAATCTTGGTATCTAGGAAGGAAAATACCTGTGGATCGTCTTAGACCACGCTCTCCATCTAGTTGCATGATGGTGGGGGCGGTGGGTAATGGGTGTGCGGTGGGTATGGGGGCATTGCCTGGATTTTCAGATTTGACTTTGTTTCTCCCAGTAGAAAAAGCACTTCCATGTGAAAAGTTCAGAGCCTGGACAAATCCAGAAAAGATCACTAAGTGAAGTTCAACTTTTCCTTTCCAGAGTGAAGCTGGCAAAGAGTTATGGCTTAGAGTCTTTTCTTTGAAGTTGAGGAATGACTGGTGGTTTTTGGAAGCCAAGGCCGACTTTTCTGGGATGTCAACTAGGAAGAATATGCCCTGGTTCCAGCTGACCCACATGTGCTTTGCAGAGGCCAGGGAGGAAGGCGCAGGGTAACTGTGGCCTGCACAGTGGTCAGGAGTGCCCTGGGCAGCAGAACAGAACAGAATAAAATTTTGCACAGACCACTCTTTCCTTTTCTTCATCAGGCACCACAAAACCAGCAGCATTTTATTCTAGGGAGGGCTCTCTTCTCATTGAGGTGCAGTCGCTCTTCATGCGCCCCCTCCCTTCTGCCTACTTTGCCCTCATTTAAATCTTGTGGGGCAAAAATCAATGTAGCACTTCCAGTAGCCAAATGCAGCATGAGCACCAGCTTTGAGGACAGCTGGCCTGAGCATAACACAGCTGCTGGGAATGGCTGAGGCAGAGATAGGTGTAGTTTGGGCCAAGGAGGCTATGCGGGTTTTGGGGCACTGGGGAGCCCTGAGTGGCACTGCCCTCGCCTGCATACCCTGGAACGACCTGTTTCTGTCCCAGGCTGTGCCTGTTCTTTGTGGATGTCTGCAGGAGCTTCTTGGGGATTCAAGGACCAGCCCCTGATATGCCCCTGTATCCTGGGATCTTTTCAGAGCTCTCCCCCAGCCCCACCATCAATTCCATGCCGCCATGCTCACCAGGAAATGCCAGTGTTCAGGCCCCCTGGATTGCAAAGCCAGAGATCTTGATGTGTTCACCCTGCAGCCACCCAGGGCCGTTGAGACTCCTAGACAGTTGAGATAAAGTGACTCTCCCTCCCTTACTGTCACACAGACACCTACATATCCCACCCTCATGGAGTCCTTTGTGAAAACAATCCCAATTCATGAACAAGGCATCTTTCTCCATTTGTTAAAGTCTTTTTAAATTTATCTCAGTATTGTTTTGCAGTTTTCAGTATATAGATATGTATTTTACATCTTTTGTAAGACTTATACATAAGTACATATTATTTTGGATGTTTATAAATGATACTGTCTACTGATTTCAATTTGATTATTTGTTGTTAGTATATAGAAATACAACTGGTTTTTGTATTTCAACCTTGATAACTTGCTACAGTCACTTATTTTAGTAGCCTTTTGTAGATGCCATTGCATTTTCTACATAGACAATTATATCTCTTGTTACTAATGACAACATTTCTTCTTCCTTTCCAATCTGTTCTTTTTCTTGGCTTACTGCACTGAGTAGAACCTACAGCAAAGGGCATTTTGTCATCGGTAAGTATGATATTAGCTATAGGTTTTCCACAGATGCTCTTTATCAAGTTGAAAAAGTTCTCTTATTTCTAGTTTGCTAAGAGTTTTTATCAGAAATGGATGTAGGATTTTGTCAAATGCTTTCTTTGTATCTTTGAGATGATCATATTTTTGTTTAGATTGTTAATACCGTGGCATGGTGGCACATGCCTGTAGTCCCAGCTACTCAGGAGTTTGAGGCAGGAGGATCACTTGAGCCCAGGAGTTGGAGGCTGCAGTGTACTATAATCATGCCTGTAAACAGCCACTACACTCCAGCCTGGAAAACACAGGGAGAACTCAACTTGAAAGATAAATAGTTAAGGTTTCTGTTTCTTTGTTTGCTTGTTTGTTTGAGATGGAGTCTCGTTCTGTTGCCCAGGCTGGAGTGCAGTGGTGTGATCTCGGCTCACTGTAACCTCCACCTCCCCAGTTCAAGAGATTCTCCTGTCTCAGCCTCCCCAGTAGCTGGGACTACAGGCAGGCGCCACTATGCGCCGCTAACTTTTGTATTTTTAGTAGAGACGGGGTTTCGCCATGTTGGTTAGGCTGGTCTCAAACTCCTGACCTCAAGTGATCCACCCGTCTTGGCCTCCCAAAGTGCTGGGATTACAGGTGTGAACCACTGCGGCTGGCCTGGTTAAGGTTTTTATATTCGGTGTATTTTTATAACAATAAAAATATTGGGGGAAGAAAATAGACAACTTAGAGAGTGTAACTAGGGGTTAATGTGAAGACGCTACATGATCCGTGTTGTGCACAAACAACAATTTTAACCTATCAATGTGTCTTTACAGCAAAACAAAAAGAGCAGAGACACATAGTGGTGCTTATCCGCGAAACTAAAATCTGGAGCAGGGCCTGACTGAGCATCTTCCAGGGCCCACTCCTTATCTCCAGCTGTGCAGGAGCACAGGCACAGGGCTGGGGTCTGCAGAATACTGCCAGAAGTGAGGTGGGTGCTGAGGAGTGGGCTCCACCCAGGCCAGGTGTCCTGCGGACATAAAGGAAAAGAGCGTAACTGTGGCTCAAGCTGAGTTGGGGGCAAATATGGGGTTTAACAGAGTGGGGCACTGTCACTCCCCAAGAGGAGGCAGACAGCTCTGATCACTCCAAACACCCAAAGGTGACTTCGAATCCTTCCCCATTCGCTTGACTTCACTGGACAGCTGGGAACCTGCATCTTTGGTGACTGAATATCCCCACTCTGGTTCCCCAAGGACAGACCCTGAATTGATTCCAGGAATCCACGTGTACAGGTAAGCACTACATTTCCTAGGCTGCCTTGCAGTTGAGATGGCCAGTGAGGTGTCAGCAGAAGTCACAGGCGGGGCTTCCAGAAAATACCCTCAAGAAGCGAACTCAGCTGGGGCTGGGAGGTGTGGGAGCTAGCTCCCTCTGGCTTTGTCGCTGGCTCTCTTCCCAGCTGGACTGTGGGATGATGTTAGGGCTCAGTCAGCCCTCTTGTCGTCCTGGGGATGGAGGCTATGCACCAAGGGCAGGGAGCAGAAATACCAAAGGAACCTGGATTCCCGGGGCTCTCTTGGGGCTGCAAGATGGTGGTGGATTGGCAACTGCAGATATTTGTGTTTATGTATTTTCCATGCAGAAACATCTACAATGGCACTGAGTCTGTAGCGAGGGCCATGCACTGTCTGTCTGAAAGTGCATAAGGGCTCCAGGCACAGGCTTTGTGTCCAAGTACCTTGCTGTGTTTAAGGTACATCACAGCACCGGAGAATGTGGGAGAGGTCACATTCATCCCTTCAAAGCGCAGGGAGGTTCCTATTCTGACACCAGCAACACTTACAAGAATGAACCTAAAGCTGGGCAGTGAGGAAGGAAAGGAAAAAGAAAGTTTATGAATACAGGTAGTATTGTTTGAACCGGTAAGTTGCACTATAAATCACAATAAAAGATAGTCTGTATATCACTAAAACAGAAGAGTTGGCCGCCCTGAGGATGAGGCCTTTGGGTCTCCAGGCATTTGCCAGCTCTCCTAGCCTAGGGGCAGGGGCACCTGCACAGCCCTCTGCTTTTCCTAGAATTCTCAGCAGCGAGCATGTGTCAGGGAGAGACATGGTTGTCTTAGCACTGACGCTGAAATCCTGGATGTTCTTGGGAGGGCAGTGATTGTGAAGAACAAGCTACTAGTCTAGTCCCTGGAGGTCACTCCTTAAAGCCTCCCGATGAGGCAAGTTTACAGGATCCATGCTCCCTGAGCCAGCAGTGACACCCACACTTGGCAGTGAGAAGTGGGGCTGTAACTTACAGGGTGAGCCAAAATGGGATTTATCTTAAAGGAAATTTAAGGGATCTTAAAGGAAAAAGAGAGGAGAGTGAATGACCTCATCATTAGCTGGGAGGCTCTGCAGTGCCCTGGTAGACAGTCACTGCCTGGAGGTGACTTTGTAGAAAGCAAACTTTGGCTGTCACAGCGCATAGGGAGGCCTGGGAAAGCCCAGGGAAGCAGGAGTCTGGTCGGTGAGGCCGAGGAGGAGGGCCCTTCTCCTGACCCCACGGGCGTGGCTTGGCCAGGCAGCTCAGGACTTGCTTCTCCCCACGGCTTGGCCCCCTTCTCAGGTCGCTCTCAATCTATGGGGAACCTAGAGGGAAGGAGGCTGCCCATGGCGCACACCGTGGAGGGACCCTGAGGACAGCGGAGAGCAGGTCTAAGGTGAGGCAGGTGCTCTCAGGTTAAAGATAGGGGAAGAATCTGAAGCACTATTGCAGACGGGCCCCCAGGAGGGTTAAAGGTCAAGGTGGAGGCGAAACTAAGATTGGAAGGTGAGTATGCAGCCCAGAGTCATGGAGGTTCCAGAGCGGGTGATGGTTTCTGAGAAGCTCCAGGCTCTTCACGAGTTCTTTGAAAGCCGCTGGCGTTGACTCCATTACTAGCAATGAGTGGGACACATTTCCTAACCCATACACACGTTTGTTCAGCTGGACCCCTCCTGGCAGGAGGGCTCATCTCTGGGCAGGTGCTGGGGCCACAAGACAGATACGAATGGAACTTTGTACTCTTCGGGGACGGTACGGGGGGCGGGCAAGAAACAATAAACAAGCCGGCAAAGAAAGCGCCACAAAATTCCAGGTGGCGGTAAGTACCAAAAACTATGGTACCTAATAGTGATAAGCAAATAAAGTACTCTAGCGGATCAAACAGCAGGGGAATGTTTGCTATTTTAGATAAGTGGTACCGGAAGGTGTCTCATTGCAGGGACAGTGAATGGTGACCTAGAACCTCCGGGGAGGCTGCAGGAGGGAACTGCCTCTCCCAAGTCCCTCGGTCTCCGGTAGGAGATCACTCACCCTCCAGCCAGCGCCGGCCGGGGTAGGAGCCGCAGGTCTGGGACCAGCGCCTCTGCGAGGACAGCTCTCTGAGTTGCGCCAGGTTCCAGCTACAGGGCCACGTCCCGCAGACCAGGAGCGCTGCGGCTCCGCCCTGGGGGACCAGGTACCCGCACAACCCAAGCAGCCTGGGACCAGGCCCGCGGGACTGCAGGCTTGTTTCCGCAGCGCGCCCGCCACACACAGGCCCCGCCCACGCCGAGGCCGCACCCCGCCTCTCAGCCCCGCCCACACCCCGCCTCCGGCTCCAAGCTCCGCCCACGCCACGCCACGCCACCGCAGTCCGCCTCCGGGCTCGTCTAGCCCTTCAGGGCTGGGGAGGACCCTGCTGGGTTTCGAGGAGGTGGAAACTGGACCCACAGGAATGGAGCGCGGAGGCCGGGCGCGGTGGCTCACGCCTGTAATCCCGGAGGCCGCGACGGGCGGATCACCTGAGGTCAGGAGTTCGAGACCAGCCTGGCCAACACAGTGAAACCCTGTCTCTACTAAAAATACCAAAATTAGTCTGGGCGTAGTGGGGAGCGCCTGTAGTCCCAGCTACTCGGGAGGCCGAGGCAGGAGAATTGCTTGAACCCAGGAGGCGGAGGTTGCAGTAAGCCGAGATCGTACCATTACACTTCAGCCTGAACTGCAGTGAGACTCCATCTCAAAAAAAAAAAAAAAAAAAAAAGGAGTGCTGGGACTCTGTGCGGGGAGGAGGGACGCTCCTGCTCTATGCCAACCCCCGCCCCATCCCTGGCAGATATCCAGGTTACAGAATGAGAGTCTGTAGTGCGACAAAAAGAATGAGCCACTGGTACTCCACACCCATCAGCCTGCTGGATCTCCCGGGGAGTTACGCTGGTGAGCGAAACCAATCCCAAAGATCACAGACGGGGGATCAATTTCTCCAAAGGACAGAGGAGAGAAATGCAGGACTCATTAGCTGTGCCCAGGAGTTAGGGAGGCGGCGGGTGTGTGGCTATAAAAACGCAACCCGGGGGGTGCCTGTGAAGGAAATCTGCGTCCCGCAGAACGCAACACGCCGTTGGGATACTGGACCGTCCTTTGTGAGATGCCACCATTGGGGGAAACCGGATATGCATGGCTCCAAGGAAAAAGTTCGATTAAAGGAAAGTGGTTTAAGGACAAGGAAATGGCTAGAAAATGGAAAGTCTTGGAAACAGAGCCAGTTGGGGGTTGGGAGGGCGGTGGGGGGAAAAGCAAGATAGATCAGATTGTTACTGTGTCTGTGTAGAAAGAAGTAGACATAGGAGACTCCATTTTGTGCTGTACTAAGAAAAATTCTTCTGCCTTGAGATTCTGTTAATCTATGACGTTACCCCCAACCCCGTGCTCTCTGAAACATGTGCGTGTCAAACTCAGGGTTAAATGGATTAAGGGCGGTGCAAGATGTGCTTTGTTAAACAAATGCTTGAAGGCAGCATGCTCCTTAAGAGTCATCACCACTCCCTCATCTCAAGTACCCAGGGACGCAAACACTGTGGAAGGCCGCAGGGTCCTCTGCCTAGGAAAGCCAGGTATTGTCCAAGGTTTCTCCCCAGTGTTAAGTCTTACACCTGCCCACTCAAGAGGCAGGAGTTAATCCCAGAGGTCTGTGTCCTAATGCATTATGGCAAATGGATGTCACGCATGTCCCTTCATTTGGAAGATTGTCATATGTTCATGTAACAGTTGATACTTATTCACATTTCATATGGGCAGCTTGCCAGACAGGAGAAAGTACTTCCCATGTTAAAAAACGTTTATTGTCTTGTTTTGCTGTCATGGGAGTTCCAGAAAAAATCAAAACTGACAATGGACCAGGATATTGTAGTAAAGCTTTCCAAAGATTCTTAAATCGGTGGAAAATTTCACATACAACAGGAATTCCCTATAATTCCCAAGGACAGGCCATAGTCCTTGGGTGCATGGCTCCAAAGAAAAAGTTCGATTAAAGGAAAGTGGTTTAAGGACAAGGAAATGGCTAGAAAATGGAAAGTCTTGGAAACAGAGCCAGTTGGGGGTTGGGAGGGCGGTGCTGGTGAACAGTTTAGGCCGATTGTCTTTTTTTCTAGTGTTTGCTGGCTTCTGCCCCCTCATTTGGCAGTCACCTGCCACTGTGACCTCCCCAAGACCCCTCTCCAAACTCTATACCTTGATTTCTGGTGTCCCGGAAATAGAGACCAGAAACACTGATGTCCCACTCCAACGATAGAGCAGAAGGAAGGAAGGTTTCCCCTGTGGTTTAGAACGTTCCTAACGAAAATAACTGCAACTCTTGATTGCACCTCCTGAGGGTCGTTGGGACTTTCCCTCTCAGACATTTATTGGTTCATTCATTCGTTCATTTTGCTGTAACTCACAGTGGCCCCCATCCTAAGGTGCACTGCTGGGATTGGTCTATGTGCTGATGATGTTCTCCTTGTCTTCAGAGGTGAGAATGTGCCCTCCCTCCGAGATGCCCTCTTGCCCCTGAGCTCCCCAGCAGGGAACAGGCTGCCTTGTCTTGTGAGTCCAGATCCTGGGAACAACTTTCAT
Organism: Homo sapiens; assembly: GCF_000001405.40. Lineage (NCBI taxonomy): Eukaryota > Metazoa > Chordata > Mammalia > Primates > Hominidae > Homo > Homo sapiens. The sequence goes on from NC_000006.12 coordinate 3,056,129, forward strand.
TTAGGAATGGAACAGCAGGTCCTGGGAGCATTGGCGCCTGCGCGCCCATCATGCGCGTGTGTGATGCAACATCACCACCTTGTGGCAGCGAGGAGCTATCACAACGTGGACTGAGCAAGTTGCTCCCTGCTTGGGGTTGGGAGCTGGACTGGCCTAGTTCCCTGGGTCTTTTTTTGTTGTTTTTGTTTTTGTTTTTGTTTTTGAGACAGAGTCTCGCTCTGGCCCAGGCTGGAGTGCAGTGGCGCGATCTCGGCTCACTGCAAGCTCCGCCTCCCGGGTTCACGCCATTCTCCTGCCTCAGCCTCCCGAGTAGCTGGGACTACAGGCGCCCGCCACCACGCCGGGCTAAATTTTTTTTTTTTTTTTTTAGTAGAGACGGAGTTTCACCGTGTTAGCCAGGATGGTCTCGATCTCCTGACCTCGTGATCCGCCTCGTGATCCTCCTGATCCTCGAAGCCGCCCGCCTCGGCCTCCCAAAGTGCTGGGATTACAGGCGGGAGCCACCGCGCCTGGCCGTTCCCTGGGTCTTTTGAGTGGTGTGAGTTGAATGGTGGTAGATTCTAGGACAGTTCAGTAGGAGCCCGTCCTCAAAAGGAAAATAACAGAACTTCCTGCTAATCTGGTATTGGGGCTGAGCAATTACTGCACACTGATGAGATTGACCATAATTGCATCCTGAGTTTGAAGAGGAGGTCACGCTACTAAGACGAGATAAAATCAGCTCCAACGACAAACATCATCTCTGGGGGTTTCCAGATTCTCAATTTTCATTTAATCCCCAGCCTTAGTGGAAAGCAAGAGTCGGAGTCGGCATTCTGGGCAGGGAGGCAGGTGAGGCAGGTACACATCTCCTCTTCTCCCCAACGCCCCATGTTTCTATTTCTGAATAAAATGAACCATCATGGTGCTAAGGTAAAGCTAAACTAGCTGAGCCACCTCCTGAAGAGGACATTGCTTTTTTTTATTTGATGAGATTTCTTTCCCTTCTGTTACCAGCATCTCCATCCCTTTGGGAAACTGACTCTTAATAACAGAGTTTTTTGTACTTTTAAACTTTGTTTTTGTGTAGTCAAATATGTACAACATAAGATATGCTGTTTTATCCATTTTTAAGTGGACAGTTCAGAAGCATTAATTACATCGACTATGTTGTGCAACCTTTCCTGCTATTTATTTCCAAAACATTTTTCAACAGAACAAATAAAAACACGGTACTCATTGTAAAATAACTTCCCATTCCCCCCTCCTTTCATTACCGGTAGCCTCTAATCTACTTTCTGTCTCTATGATTTGTCTGTCCCATGTACTTCGTATAAGTGGAATCCTACAAAATGGGCCTTTACAGTCAGCTTATTTCCCTTGAAAACCTTGTTGGCAAGTTTCATCAATGTTGTAATATGAGTCAGAATTTCACTTCTTTGTGGCCGAATATTAAAAATGCACGGGTCGTTTGAGATTTGTGAATAATGCACCAATGATTCTTGGCATATATGTATCTGTGTGACTCCCTGCGCTTAATACTGTGGGTATCTACCGAGGAATGGAATTGTTATAACAATTCTATCGTCATCCTATGTTTAGCTTTTTGAGGAATAGCCAAAATGTATTTCGCAGTGTCTGTGCAATTTTACATTCCCACCAACAATGTATGAGGGTTCCAATTTCTCCATATTTTCACCAGCATTTATTATGTTGCTTTTTTTCCCCTAAATTATAGCCATCCTAGCAGATGTGATGTGGTATTTCATTGGGTTTTTGATTTGCATTTCCCTAATGACTAATGACTTGAATCGTCTTTTCATGCATTTACTGGCCATTTGTATACCTTCCTTGGAGAAATGTCTATCCAAGTCCTTTGCTTATACTTTAATTGGATTGTTTGCCTATTCATTGTTGAGTTGTAGAAGTTCTTTATATTCTGAATTTATCAGCTATATGATTTGCAAAAATGTTCCTTCACTCTGTAGGTTGTCTTTCTTGATAATATCCTTTGATACACAAAATTTCAGATTTTAATGAAGATTACTCCCAGTGGATTTTGTTTCTTTTTGTTTTTTCATTGTTGTTTTGCAAGAGATTTTGCTATCATATCTAAGAGCCTATTACCAAACCCAAAATTATGAAGATTTGCTTCTATGTTTTCTCCTAAGAATTTTATGATTTTAGTTTTTATATTTAGTTCATTGCTTGTGAGGGTTTTTTTAATACGGTGTGAAGCAGGGTCTAACTTTACTCTTGCATGTGGAAATACAGTCCTTCCATATCATCTGTTGAAGACTATTCTTCCCTGAATTGAATACTGCTTGGCACCCTTGGCCATAGACATATGAGTTTATTGAGGATCCCTTGTACATGTCTTGCTGCTTTTATGATTTTCTCTTTGTCTTATACAGACATCCCTCATTTCATTGCATTTTGCTTTAGCGCAATTCAAAGATATTGTGTTTTTCACATATTGAAGGTCTGTGGCAACTGTGTCAAGCAGGATTTTGGGACCATTTTTCCAACAGCATGTGCTCATTTCTTGTCTCTGTGTTACGTTTTGGTAATTCTCACAATATTTCAGACATTGTCATTATTATTACATCTGTTACAGTGATCCGGGATGTTACTACTATAATTGTTTTGGGGTGCCACAAACTAAACCCATATACGTTGACAAACTTAATGGATAAATGTTGTGTGTGTTCTGACTGCTCCAGTGAGCAGTCATTTCCCATCTCTCTCCCTCTCCCAAATTCTTTGAGACAACACAACAATATTTAAATTAGGGTAGTGAAGAACCAACCCTATAATGACCTTTAAATCTTCAAATAAAAGGAAGAGTTGCATGCCTGTCACTTTAAATCAAAAGTGAAAGACGATTAAAGTTAGGAAGACATGTCAAAAGCCAAGATAAGCCATAAGCAAGACCTCTTGCACCAAACAAGCTGCCAAGTTGTGAATGAAAGAAAAAGTTATTGAAGGAAATTAAAAGTGCTGCTTTAGTGAACACATGAATGATAAGTAAAACAGCCTTATTGCTGACATGGGGAAAATTTAAGTGGTCTGTATAGATCAAACCAGCCACAGAACTCCCTTCAGCCAAAGCCGAATCCAGAGCAAGGCCCCAACTCTCTTCAATCCTATGCAGGATGAGAGAAGTGAGGAAATTGCAGAAGAAAAGTTGGAAGCTAGCAGAGGTTGGTTCTTGGTTCATGAGGTTTAAGGGAAGAAGGCATCTCTGTAACATAAAAGTGCAATGTGAAGCAGGAAGTGCTGATGGAGAAGCTGCACCAAGTTATCCAGAAGATCTAGCTAAGATCATTGATGAAGGTGGCTACACTAAACAGATTTTCAATGTAGATAAAACAGCCTTCTATTGGAAGAAGATGCCACCTAGGACTTCCATAGCTAGAGAGGAAAAGTCAATGCCTGGCTTCAAAGCTTCAAAGGATAGGCTGACTCTGTTGTTAGGGGCTAATGCAGTTGGTGACTTTAAGTTGAGACCAATGCTCATTTACCATACTGAAAATCTTAGGGCTTTAAGAATTATGCTAAACCTACTCTGCCTGTGCTCTCAGTGGAACCACCAAGCCTGGGTGACAGCATGTCTCTTTACAGCATAGGTTACTGAGTATTTTAAGTCCACTGTTGAGACTCACTGTTCAGAAAAAAAGATTCCTTTCAAAATATTACTGCTCATTGACAATGCACCTGATTACCCAAGAGCTCTGACGGAGACGTACAAGGAGATGAATGCTGTTTTCATGCCTGCTAACACAACGTCCATTCTACAGCCCATGGATCAAGGAGTAAATTCAACTTTCAAGTCTTATTATTTAAAAAATACACTTCCGGCCGGGCGTGGTGGCTCACGCCTGTAATTCCAGCACTTTGGGAGGCCAAGGCGGGTGGATTAACCAAGGTAGGGAGTTCGAGACCAGCCTGGCCAACATGGGGAAACCCCGTCTCTACTAAAAATACAAATATCAGCTGGGCGTGGTTGCGGGCGCCTGTCATCCCAGCTACTTGGGAGGCTGAGTAACGAGAATCGCTTGAACCCGGGAGGCGGACGTTGCAGTGAGCCGAGATCGCACCACTGCACTCCTGCCTGGGTGACAAGAGTGTGACTCCATCTCAAAATAATAATAATAATAATAATAATAATAATAATAATAATAATGATAATGATAATAATAAACACAAAATAATTTTTAAAAGGCTATTAGCTGCCAGATATAGTGATTCCTCTGGTGGATCTGGGCAAAATAAATTGATAAATTGCTAGAAAGGTTCTCACCACTCTTGATGCCATTAAGAACATTTGTGATGCGTGGAAGGAGGTCAAAATGTCAACATTAACAGGAGTTTGGAAGAAATTAATTCCAACGCTCATGGAAGACTTTAGGGAAGGAAGTAGCTGCAGATATGGTGGAAATAGAACAGAACTAGAATTAGAAATGGAACCTGAAGATGTCACAGAATTGCTGCAACCTCATGATAAAACTTTCACAGATGAGGAGTCACTTCTTATGGATGAGCAAAGGAAGTGGTTTCTGGAGATGGAATCTGCCTCTGGGGAAGATGCTGTAACCACTGTTGAAATGACAACAGGCCGGGTGTGGTGGCTCACACCTGTAATCCCAGCACTTTGGGAGGCCGAGGCCGGTGGATAACCTGAGGTCAGGAGTTCGAGACCAGCCTGGCCAACATGGTGAAACCCTGTCTCTACTAAAAATACAAAAATTAGCCAGGTGTGGTAGCACATGCCTGTAATCCCAGCTACTCGGGAAGCTGAGGCAGGAGAATTGCTTGAGCCTGGGAGACGGAGGTTGCGGTGAACTGAGATTGTGCCACTGCACTCCAGCCTGGCTGACAGAACGAGACTCTGTCTCAAAACAAACAAACAAAAACCAAAAGATTTAGGATATAACAAAGTAAGTTGATAAAGCAGTGGCAGGGTTTGAGAAGATTGACACCAATTTGAAATAAGTTCTACTGTGCATAAAATGCTATCAAATGGCGTTACATGCTACAGAGAAATCTTTCATAAAAGGAAGAATCAATTGATGAAGCCAACTGATTTTAAAAAATTGCCGGCCAGGCACGGTGGCTCACGCCTGTAATCCCAGCACTTTGGGAGGCCGAGGTGGGTGGATCACGAGGTCAGGAGATCGAGACCATCCTGGCTAACACGGTGAAACCCCATCTCTACTAAAAATACAAAAAATTAGCTGGGCGCAGTGGTGGGCGCCTGTAGTCCCAGCTACTGGGGAGGCTGAGGCAGGAGAATGGCGTGAATCCGGGAGGCGGAGCTTGCAGTGAGCTGAGATAGCGCCACTGCACTCAGGCCTGGGCGACAGAGCGAGACTCTGTCTCAAAAAAAAAAAAAAGAAATTGCCACAGCCACTCCAGCCTTCAGCAACCACCACCTTGATCAGTCAGGTTCATTAACATTGAGGCGGGCCACTCCACCAGCAAAAAGATTATGACTCACTGAAGGCTCAGATGACTATCATCATTTTTTTTAGTGATAACATGTGTTATGATTAAGGTATCTACATTTTTGAGACATAACGTGCACTTAATACACTGCAGTATAGTATATAACTATTATATGCATAGGGCTGCTAAAGCGTTGCGTGATTTGCATTATTGTGGTATTCGCTTTATTGTGGTGGTTTGGAACCTACCCCACAATATCTCTGAGGTATGCCTGTATATTGCTGGCAGGAATGTAAAATTGCACAGTAGCTTTGCAAAAACAAGTTTGGCAGTTCTTCAAAAAGTTAAATATAGAGTTATACCATATGACTCACCAATTCTACCCACTGGTATATATCCATGATAAGCTCAAGAAAACATACCTCTATACATATATTTATACATGAATGTTGATAGCAGCATTATTCATAAATATATTTATACATGAATGTTGATAGCAGCATTATTCATAATAGCCAAAGATGGAAAAAACCCAAATGTCTGTCAATTGAAAGGGTAAACAAAATAGATATATGTATACATATTATTATATTATTCAGCCATAAAAAGAAATGAAGCCTGACAAATGCTACCTTGAACCATCATGAATGAACCTTTAAAACATTATGCTAAGTAAAAGAAGCAGCCACGAAAGACCACATATTGTATGGTTCATTTTGCATGAAATCCCCGAAATAGGAAAATCCAGAGACAGAAAATAAATCTGTGGTTGCCAGGGATTGTGGGAAGGAGGAAATGGAGAATAATTGCTAATGGGTATCACAGTTCCTTTTAGGGTGATGAAAATCTTCTGGAGTTAGATAGTGGTGATAGTTGCACAGCTTCATCAATATACTAAGAACTACTGAATTGCATGCTTTAAAAGGATGAACATTATGGTATGTGAATTGTATTTTACTAAAGGTGTTATTTTATTTATATATTATTTATTTATTTATTTATTTTTATTTTTATTTTTATTTTTTGAGACGGAGTCTCGCCTGTCGCTCAGGATGGAGTGCAGTGGTGCAATCTCGGCTCATGGCAACTTTCGCCTCCAGGTTCAAGCGATTCTCCTGCCTCAGCCTCCTGAGTAGCCGGGTCTACAGGCGTGCACCACCACGCCGGGCTAATTTTTGTATTTTTAGTAGAGACGAGGTTTCACCATGTTGGCCAGGCTAGTCTGGAGCTCCTGACCTCGTGATCTGCCTGCCTCGGCCTCCCAAAATGCTGGGATTACAGGCGTGAGCCACCGTACCCAACCTTAATAAGAACAAGCTAGGCACCTAGGGTGTCAAATTGAAGGAGGCTCTGATTCTCAGGGCCGCGCAAATGCAGGGTTGGCACCTATGCGTGTGGCCCTCCTGAAATTTTGTGCCTTAGGCACCTGGCTTGCTTCTCCCTAATTCAGGCCCTCAGGAGAAAGCTCTAATTCTGGTCAATTTGAAACAGGAGGGCACGGCTTCTGGGCGACGCTCCGTGCTCCAGAGAGAGCCATTTGTCTGTTCCCTTCCTCTGGACGTCACCGTGCCAACATGAAATGCTTCCAATTGAGTCCAGCCTGAGATGGAAGGGGGTGGGGGGATATCTGATGACATCACGAACTGCTGCATCAACTCCCCCGAGTCCCTGCCTCTGGATCCCCTGATAGAGGACACAAGGAGTGTCCTGAGCCCGTGTGACTCAGTGTCTCTTCCCATCACTTTGCGGGAAAATGGGGCTGCTTACACCACACCGCAGCCCAAACACCTGTGGCTAGAGAAGGGCTTGGGTACTAGGAGTGAGGACGCCTGGTTCTGGGCCCAGGACTAGTACTAGTTAGTGGTGGGACCTGGAACAAATGCTTTGGTTCTAAGTGAATCCCCCATATTCATGACAAGAGGCGTGGAACACAGACCCATGGGGCCTTCCCACTGGAACAGGGAGCTTGGCTGTCACCCGACCTTCGCTTCCTTAAGTAGAAAAGCCCAGGGTTCCAGGCTCCGTCTCCTTTCCCGCAGACGCCTTGTTTCTTCGCGCGGAGGCCCTGGACGCCGCAGGCTCCCAACCTACTTCTCTGGGCTGTCAGGTTCTGAACCCGGTCCTGAAGAGGCCCTGGCGCCGGGGGTGGGTGAGGCCGAGCGCGCGCCTTGGGAACCTGGCCGGCCTCAGGCTGGCGGGAGCATTGGCGGACATCGCCCTGGGCGGGGCGGACTGGGGGTAGACGGATCTGCCTCTGCGCCTAGCCCTGCCCTCCGCCGCCGCGCGAACGCGCGCGCCTCCCCGGCTAGTCCCGGCAGGCGGAGCCCCAGTTAGACTGCTCGTCAAGTGTGGGAAAAGCTCCGTGGCGTCACAAGCTACTATATAAAAGGCGGTGCCCGCCGGGGCCGAGTGGGAGTCCGCGGCGAGCGCAGCAGCAGGGCCCGGTCCTGCGCCTCGGGAGTCGGCGTCCAGGCTCGGAGCGCGACACGGAGACTAGGTGGCAGGTGAGGACGTCCCCGCGCACGGCCGGGGTGGAGCACGGGAGTGGCGAGCTTCAGGTCCACCGGCTGCCACCGAAAGATGGGACCTGAAGACAGGAGAGGTCGCTCAGCCAAGAGCCCCGGGGAGGCGGTGGTGTCTCGGCGGGGTCAGCAACGGTCTGTGGGGGGTCCCCTGCAGCGCGCAGCCGGTTTCCGCCTCCGCAGCTCCCAGCCAGCGCGGACGCCGCCCTCCCCGGCGCCTCCTCGCTGCCCTTCCCTGGCCGAAGCCCTCCCCTGCAGCCTCCTCCCCACCTGCCGGCCCTGTGTTCTCACTGCTCCTCTCTGCTCTGGGATCCGCAGGATGACGTCTGTCCTGGTTCTTCTTCTGTCTTTCAAAGTCACTAGTCTCCAGTTCTAAATCCGAGCACTCTTACCCATTCTAATTCTTTCAGTAACTCAGCGAAACGGATGGGGCCCTTCCTTCCCCGGAGCACTCCTCCAGGGACTGAGAATCTGCAGAGCCAGGCTCAGCGCTCGCCTGCAGAGCCTGCGGTCTGTGGGACCCGCCAGCAAGATGAGGAATCACTTTCGGGAGGAAGGGTCGTGCTGGGGAGGGTCGCGCCGGCGGGGTCAAGAGAACCTCCTCTAGGGTGGGAATCAGAGCCTCCGGGCCGCGGTGTTTGAGGGTGAGTGGAATTAATCCCGTGATGGACGTGGGGCCTTCTAAGGGGGACCAGGAGTTTGCGAAGAGGTGACTTTGGGAGGGGTTCAGGATGGCCAGAGGTGGAGGCTGTGACCTCAGTGAGGCTGGATCAAGGGAGGGGCAGGTGGAGAAGAAACCGTTTTAACGAGGTGGCTTTAAGCGGATCCTAAGGGCCCCAGGAGATTTAGGAGGAAGGACAAGAGGATTAAGACACCGCTTTCTGGTCGGGTGCGGTGGCTCACGCCTGTAATCCCAGCACTCTGGGAGGCCGAGGCGGGCGGATCACGAGGTCAGGAGATGGAGACCATCCTGGCTAACACTGTGAAACCCCGTCTCTACTAAAAAAAAGAAAAAAAAGAATACAAAAAAATAGCCGGGCGTGGTGGCGGGCGCCTGTAGTCCCAGCTACTCGGGAGGCTGAGGCAGGAGAATGGCGTGAACCCGGGAGGCGGAGCTTGCAGTGAGCTGAGATCGCGCCACTGCACTCCAGCACTCCAGCCTGGGCGACAGAGCCAGACTCCGTCTCAAAAAAAAAAAAAAAAAAAAAAAAAAAGACACGGCTTTCTGAGGTGCCGTGCGGCTGTGGCGGGGGTGGCTGGGGGTGCGGGTTGTGTTCATTGTCCAAGGCTCTCCAGTGCTTTGCGTGGCGTTTTGGGGAGCACAGATGAGGTGTCCCGACAGTGGGGAGTGGCTCTAGGGAGACCAGAGGCTCGGGAGGGGGCCTGGGCATTAGACCAGGCACAGGATCCAAAGTGGGAAGAAATGTGGGCGTAGAGGGCAGGCCTTGGAGATGGGTGTGGGGGAGGAGGGGGAGATGGAAAGGAGTCAGGGAGGTCTCCCAGGCTCACCTGGAGGAGTCAGGGTCTCATTTCCAAGTGCACTGGGAACTGCAGCCTGGGGGTGGGGGTTCATTTGGTTTCAGGCCTGTGGCCAAGAGACCTACCCCCTCATATTCACACTTTGGCCTCCACGGGCTTCAGAGATAGTACCAGCTCTTTGTTCTCGCTGGTTTTCTTTCCTCACCTTGGGCTGTTTCTTGCCTTTTCCATTCTGGTGTTCTGCAAGGACCAGTTCCTTCATCTCATGCACAGTCTACACTCATGGCTTTTGCTGGGAGTAATGAGTAAAGCTCCCAAATAGATGTTTCTGAGTTAAAACACTGAACACAAAATGAAGCAAAAACAACGCATTTCCAACCTCCCAAGGTCACATGATGTCTAGAGGACAGTGATGGGCAATAACTTTTTGTCTTCCCCATTAGAATGCAAGCTCCACGAATGGAACGTGGAGTTTTTTATTTTTTATTGTTTTTTGAGACGGAGTCTGGCTCTGTCACCCAGGCTGGAGCAATCTTGGCTCACTGCAACCTCCGCCTTCTGGGTTCAAGCAATTCTCCCGCCTCAGCCTCCTGAGTAGCTGGGTCTACAGGCATGCACCACCACGCCCAGCTAATTTTTGTATTTTTAGTAGAGACGAGGTTTCATCATGTTTGCCAGGCTGGTCCGGAACCCCTGAGCTCAGGCAATCCGCCCGACTTGGCCTCCCAAAGTGCTAGGATTACAGGTGTGAGCCACTACACACGGCCAGAACATAGAGATTTTTTGTGTTTAATTCACAACCGAGTCTTCAGTGCCTAGAACAGGTGCTCAGTAAATATTTACTGAAGGAATGAATTCCTTTTTGTATTTCTTGTATCTATCACCAGATGCTCTTGTATCTAGTACCTGCTTGGCATACAGTAGATAGAAAGCTTTGCTGAGTGAATAGCTCTGCCTTTCGTCTTTTTTGATATGTGTACATCTTTTAAAAAATAATGAATAGACTTTGTTTTAGAGCTGTTTTGGTTTACAGCAAAACTAAGCAGAAAGAAAATATCCCCTTCCACAAACATCCTGGACTGTACAGCCTCCCCTACCATCAACATCCTGCATTACTGTGGAATATTTGTCACACCTGATAAACCAACATAGATTCATGGTTACAAAAATGAACCAATATGGATAAAACATATACATTATCAGCCAAAGTCCGGAGTTTGTTAGGTTTTGCTCTTTGTGTATATTCAAGATACATTTGACAAATGTATAGAGATGTACCCAACCCTGTAACGTCAGACTCCACTGCCCTAAAAATCCCTTGTGCCTCACCTATCCATCCCTCCTTCCCTGCAAATCCCTGGCAGCCGCTGATCTTTTTTACTATCTCCGTAGTTTTTCCTTTTCCAGAATGTCACATAGTTGGAATCATGCATTATGTAGTCTTCTCAGATTGGCTTCTTTCACTTAGATTTATACATTTAGGATTGCTCCAGGATTTTTTTTTTTTTTTTTTTTTTTGTGGCTTCAGAGCTCATTTCTTTTTAGCACTTAATATTCCATTGTATAGATGTACCACAGCTTATCTGTCCACCCATTAAGTGATATCTTGGATGCCCTCAAGTTTTGGCAATTATGAATAAAGCTGCTATAGACATTCTTGTACAGGTGTTTGTATGGGCATAAGCTTTCAACTCGTTTGGGTAAATACCAAGGTGTGGAGTTGCTTCATCTTATGGTAAGAAGAGCTTGGTTAAGAAATTGCCAAAATGTCTTCCAGACTCTAACATTAGGCATTCCCACTAGGAATGTATGGGAGTTCCTTGTGCTCCAGATCCTCATCAACATTTGTTGTTGTCAGTGTTCTGAATTTTAGCCATTCTAATAAATGTGTAATAGTATTTGTTTTTTTAAATTGCAATTCTTTAATGACATGATGTTGAGCATCTTTTCATATGCATATACATATGGTGAGGTGTATGTTCAGAGCTTTTGCCCGCCTTTAATCAAGTTGTACATTTTCATATTGTTGCATTTTAAGAGGGTTTTTTTTGGTATATTTTGGGTCACAGTGCTTTATCAGATATGTCTTTTGCAAATATTTTCTCCCAGTCTGTGGCTCGTGTTGTGAACGTGGCTAGTTCTCTTGACATACATATCTTTTCACAGTATGTAATCCTGTTGTGCTTTTTTTTTTTTTCCTTTTGAGACGGAATCTTGCTCTTGTCACCCAGGCTGGAGTGCAGTGGCGCGATCTCGGCTCACTACAATCTCCACCTCCCAGGTTCAAGGGATTCTCCTGCCTCAGCCTCCCGAGTAGCTGGGATTGCTGGTGCCCGCCACCACGCCCAGTTGATTTTTGTATTTTTTAGTAGAGATGGGGTTTCACCATGTTGGCCAGGCTGGTCTCGAACTGCTGACCTCAAGTGATCCGCCCGCCTTGGCTTCCCAAAGTGCTGGGATTACAGGCGTGAACAACCGCGCCCGGCCTGATGTGCATATAATTTTATTATTTGATTTTTAATATACATGAATAGCATGCAGTTCCAACTTTGCTCGAGACTTCACAATTACCATTTTAAAGGGCTGCAAAATAATCACATTTCCTCCTCAACAGCCCCACTTTACAGATGAAGGTAGAGGAATGCTAACTTGCCTATGCTAACCCGCAGAGCTCTGAATCCTCCGGATAGCGCCCCCGCTGTAATCCACCCAGTGCTTCCCTCCAGACCCTTCTCCCTCTCGTGCGCGCGGAGGTTTCGGTTTCCTCTTTTACGTAGGCCGCCCCACTCGCTTGAAAACAAAGTCCGCGATCCTCTAGCCCGCAAGAGAGCTCCGGGACTCAGACCCCGGGCGCGAGGTCCCACGAGCGGCGGGGCGGCGCTCTCGCGGTCCTCCTCCCCGGCAAGGGCCGGGGCAGGGGGAGGAGGCAGCGCGAACAGTCCACGCCCTCCAGCCGGGCGCGCTCGACGCGGACGGCGGGCCAGCTGCCGGAGCGCGGCGACTCCAGGGGACCCACAGCTGGGGCGCCAGAGCGCGGCCATCCGGGCGGGGCCGACGGAGCGCGGCAGGACTTGGCTGGACGGCGCGGCCACGGAGAAGGGCGCGGTGAGCGGACTGGCACCGCGCGGGGAACATTCCGGAGGCCGCCGGGCTCAGTCCCGGTGACCCCCCTGGTCGGGGTTCGCGCGCCCTCCCCCAGCACGCCCGGGCAAGGCTGCCGCGGCGTCGGAGTAATCCCCAACCCTCCGCCGCCGCTTCTTCCCTCACCCGGGCCTCCAGACGTTTGCCGCGGAAACGAAAGTAACGCTCGGGTGCTTGCGTGGAGGCCGGGGCGGCCGCGGGCTTCCCGGAAGGAGAGGGACTCTGCCCGGGGTGCGCGCGGCGGGCGGGCCCCGCCGGTACCGGAAGTCGGGCGGTGGGCGGGGCCGCGGGCGCTCCCGGAAGTCAGGGGTGCTCCGCTAGGTGTCTCTGCTTATCCGGAGTCCGCTGGCCGCCTCTGTGCCAGAGGTCGGGGCGCTGGACTGGTAGCGGGCGGAGACCTGCCTTTGGGCCGCGGTTACCGCGTGAGGGTGGAATAGGCAGTCCCACACGCCATTAATGTTGTTTTGGTGGAGAAGGTGGGCTCCTAGTGCCCTATCATTAAGAAAAAACAGTTTGGGCTCTTCCCTTACCAGCCCTTTGAAAGGGCCTTTTACTGTTGCGCTTGAGGCCGCAGCAGGTTCCAAAAACAAAAGCATTTCTGCGTGATCTTAGACGACTGAGGGGACGAATGTGGTAACCCTAGCAGGCTTCTGTCACTGGCAGGTGCTTTTGTGAAGTGCTGCGGACCCTCTTGAGGGTTGGGAAGAGGATAGGCTGCATCCTCCTTCCCTAAGCATTTGACAAAGCCTCACAGGGATGCGGGGGTTGCGGGGGCAGGGGGAGGTCTGGGGTTGTTAGTTCTTTCTCTCTTGCTGACCATTTGGCTCTCCCTTAATCAGAGCTCTTTTTTATTTTGGGCAAAGCAGGAGGCTGTTCCAATGATTAATTCTTCCCTGACTTACACTTGAAGAAGCCAAGGCAGGAAGTGAACTTTGAAATGTGCAATGTCTTAGTACTCATCTGCATTCTGTGACTGCTAGGAAGATGGACTGAGTCAAGAGGAAATTGTCTTGTTAGAAATGTGGAATACTGCGTCGGGCACGGTGGCTCACTCCTGTAATCCGAGCACTTCGGAGGCCGAGGTGGGAGGATCACCTGAGGTCAGGAGTTCGAGACCAGCCTGGCCAACATGGCAAAACCCTGTCTCTACTAAAAATACAAAAATTAGCCAGGTGTGGTGGCGGGTCCCTGTAATCCCAGCTACGCGGGAGGCTGAGGCAGGAGAATGGCTTGAACCCAGGAGGCGGTAGTTGCAGTGAGCCGAGATTGCCACTTACACTCTATCCTGGGCGACAGAGGGAGACTCTGTATCAAAAAAAAAAATAAATAAAGAAATGGGGAATACTGCAGCTCTTCTATTCACAAAAAGTGAAGACTAGGCTTGTTTAAAATGAAATTTGGAGTGTATCATTATTACTGATAAAATAGCAAAAATGATAACTTTTAATACTCATTTTCCTCTGTCTGAACTATACTGAGCCTCAGAGATATGTTGTACTTTCTGGAATGTGAATATTAATGAGTATTAAGAAAAGCTCTTAAACAGCCTCTTTCAAACTGGGCAGCTTACTTTTTGGTGCTTATTAATCTATAACGTGTTAACATCCATATGATCTGGGAATTTGAAGAAAATACTTAATTTCCCATGCTTTAGTTGGATATTACATTCTGGCAAAAAAGGTTGACTGTATTAATCTGTAGAACATTGATTTTGAACCATATATTTCAAAAATACATGAGCCGTGTATTTTTATTTTTGAGACAGAGTCTTGCTCTGTCACCCAGGCTGGAGTGCAGTGGCGCGATCGCGGCTTAATGTAACCTTCGCCTCCCGGGTTCAAGCAGTTCTCCTGCCTCAGCCTCCCAAGAAGCTGGGATTGTAGGCATGCACTACCATGCCTGGCTAATTTTTGTATTTTTAGTAGAGACAGGGCTTCACCACGTTGGCCAATCTGGTCTCAAACTCTTGGCAATCTGCCCTCCTTGGCCTCCCAAAGTGCTGGGATTACAGGCATGAGCCCCTGCACCTCACCTTCCTGTATTTAAAAAGTTTATTCTGTACTTTCTCCGTGTTTCTGACTGTCGCACATTTATTTAATATAGATGAGTAAGGCTGTAAGGGTGGGTCTTTGCATCTGGATTTTTCCGAAGACAGATTATTTGCTATCTAGAGAAGTAGCATGTATTAGTGAGCCAATAGTGAAAGTTTGAATGAAGGGACAAATATTTCATTCCAGGATCCTACCACTTTAGGTGAATCACTTAGCTCCAAATCTTAGTTTCTTTATTTGCAAATTGAAATCATGATAAAATTTGCTTCAGGGGTTATGATGCTTGTTTAAACTCTGTTTCAATTCTTGTCTCTTGCTGGTCCTTAAGTCTCTTCCTTGCTCAGAGCTTTTGTTTATCCAGGCAAAGCATCAGGCTGCTGTAATCAAGGAAGTTGGAGAAATCCTCTGGTCACTTGGATAGCTGAGCAAAATCAGAATTCTGTTAGTGGGAAGAAAGGGGGCAATGGCAGGTGGGCAACCAGCATTTTCTGCCATTCTCTTGTTATGTGTGGTCATCATAGAAAAATGGGGAAAAAGTTAATTAGAATATTTTGATATGTATACTTACCCTGCCTTAGAAGGTAATCGTGAAATTCCTTGAGATTTCACATTAATTTCAATAGAAACAAATTCACTGTCCTGAGTCCCTGAATTAATATTTATGCAAAACATTTACAAATTCCTTCAAATGGACGTAATTATTAGTTAAAATTATTTGCTATAACAGGCCAGCATGTCTTTGTCACTCTGTGTCATGGCTTTGTAATAATATGGTTATGCAGTATGGCCATATAAGCTGCCTAAATTCACTGTTTTTGTATATCCTTCAACTACTCACAAGGCCTTCCTAAGATATTCAGTGCTCATAAAGTTGAATCTTTCATGTGGAAAAAAGAGGGGTGGATAGGAAAAACAAAAGAAATCACTGAACACCATGCAGAAGATGCAGAAGATTAACAGACTAAACTAGCAAACCGCAAGACTGTAAGGAGAACTGACTTGGGTCAGGAGCTAAGCTCCCAAAGTCCAGTGGACCCAACTAGAGGCCTTCCCAAACTCCACCGCACACAGCAGCACCTGCAGGTCCTAGTTGGTCTTGACAAATTTGAGGAGATGTGGCTGAGACTGAAGAAGAGATACCAAATAGGACTCCTCATAAAGTAGAAACCTTTTACTCAAAAGGGCATTTTTCAGGGCATGTTGTAGTTCCTGCCTGTTTCTTTACTGTCTGTGACCTTTTTTAAATATTATTAAACATTCTTTCACAACATCGCTTTTGCAAACTGCTAGATATATTTCAGTGTTGATGGGCATAACTGATTCTCTCCTCTGTACATGCTAAGTGTTTTACCTACTTTTGCTGTTCTATGTAATGCTACCAGGAACAGCTTTGCACATAATCTTTATCAGCATCTCTGATTTGATCCCTCAGAGTAAAGAAATACTGAGTCAAGGAATTATTCCTTTCAAAAAAATAATTTTAATTTTACATTTAATTCATGTCTATTGTGGAAAATTTGGAAAACATAGTAAAAGTGTAAAGAAGAAAGTAAAAATCAACCTATCATCAAGATACAATCCTTGTTAACATTTTGGTGTCTTTATGTCTTTTTTATCTGTACTTATATCTTTATCTATTTACATATATATATATATAAAACACACACAAATGTGAATATAATTTTTACAGATTTATTCGTCAAAAACAATTTTGAATGGCTATATAATATTCTGTTAGGAGTGTGCCGTAATTCATTTAACAATATTTTTATTTTTATTTTTTTGGACAATTAAATAGTTCTCTTTTTAAAATAGTTATTCAATTGATGATGGGCCGGCATACGTTGGGTTCTGCTAGGCTCTGGAGATGGTGCACAAGACAAGTTTCCTGCCTTCTGTGAACTTCATGAGAAATAATTCTCAATTACAGTACTGTCTTACCTATGGAAGTGTCTAATGGGAAGACTTAGGATGGCTTCCTTGACAAAATGACAGTTCTCTGACACCTAACCAGGCAAGAAGTTGGAAGAATATGGCCTAAGAGGGTGGGGCGGATGACCCTTATGGAATGGGGAAGGCTTCACAGTTCTGCCTGCTCCAGTGATGTGTAGTGAATGAAAAAGGAGGCCTAAAATCAATGTTATCTTTTATGCCCTCTGTCTCCACCCGCTCCTACCTCATTCTCACTAGGATTGGTCAGTAGGGCCCTGCTGACAGAGTGATCCCAGCTGAGAATGTTGGCATTCTCAAAGCCCAAGGAAACAACACCCGTGTGGATAAACACATGTGGGCGGCTGGGCCAACCATAGCTAGAGACATAAAGCAGGCAACAAACGTGTTTTCACAAATATATACATATGTACATATATACGCATATACAAATATATACATATACGTATATACACATAGACAAATATAGCTATATATCTACATATACAATATATGCATACACACATACAAATATGTGTATATATACACACATATACATTTTTATATCATATATTATATATTACATATATACATATACAAATATATGTATATTTATACGTATACATACATGAACGTATACTTTTTTTTTCTCATAATCCTTACCACTTCTGTGAGGTGGTCATTATTGTTTCACTTTGCAGATGAGGAAACTGAGGCATAAGTAAGTGCCCCAAGGTCACAGGTTGGTGAGTCACAGAGCTAGAGTTCACGCTCATAGTGGAGGGCCCGTGCTCTCGGAGCTATGGCTCCTGGTCTCTTACCTCACGCGTGTGCCTCACCCCACCCCTCAGTCTTCAGGCCTTCATCTAGGCAGCCCCCCGCCTCCACCCACTGCCCACGTCCCACCGATGTAGTTGTTTCCTGAGGCACTTCTCTTGTTTGGTAATGTCTTATGTCCTAGGAAAGAAGGCCCATAGGTGCTGCTGTATGAGCTTCCTCCGCTAGACAGAGCTGGCCCCAGCCTTTAGATGAGGTGTAGAAGGCTGGTTACCCGGGTCACCTGTAGCCGGCCACTGTGCAACACCATGGGCAGCCTAGGAGTTTCCAGAGTCCCCTCTCCCCAAGGTATTTCTTTTTTCATTTTTTAACTCCCTGCCCTCCAACATTTTATTATGAAAAACACCAAGTCTGAAGGTTACGTCCACCACGACTATCGTCTTAACACCGCTTGCTTCATCGTGTAATTCTCCATCTCCTTTCCCGTCATCTGTCCGTCATTGTCTGACTTTTTGATGTATTTCCAAGTACACATCAGTACACATCTCGAAATACTTCAGCATGCATACCATAGCTAGAGTTCAATATGTTTACAGGTTTGTCTTTTGATGTAAAATTTACCTGCTGTTGTTGGGAGTACATCTGCTGAGTATGGGCAGATGCGTATGCCTGCAACCCTAGCCCCCGTTGATATCCTACAACATTATCATCACCCCAGAAAGTTCCTTCATGCCCCTGCCCACTCAGCCTCACCGTGCTCACAGGCGGCCAGTGTTCTTTTTCTGACACAGATTGGTTTTGACTTCTGAACCGTCATATAAATAGAATTACATAGTATGTATGCTTTTGTATAAGGCGACTTTCACTTATCACGTTTTTGCATTTCGTTCATGCGGTTTTCATTCATGTGTATCAGTAGTTCATTTTTATTGCTGAGTAGTATCCCATCGTGTTCATACACCAGTGTGTTCACTCATTCTCTTACTGATGGGCAGCTGTTTCCAGTTTGGAGCTATTATAAATAAAGTTGCTATGAACATTTTACAAGTGTTTTCCAACATACGTTTTCATTTCTCTTGGGATTGGAATTGCTGGGTCATAGTGCAGGTGTTTGTGGTTTTATAAACAAAATAAATGCCTATGAAATTTCAATGAATATTTTATGCCCCAGAAAGAGTATTTTTCATGGTCTGTATCTGGATGTAGATATTTATTATTTTATTTTATTTTAATTTTTTTGAGACAGAGTCTCACTTTGTTGCCCAAGCTGGAGTGCAGTGAGTGGCATGCGATCTCGGCTCACTGCAACCTCCGCCTCCCAAATTTAAGCAATTCTCCTGCCTCAGCCTCCTGAGTAGCTGGGATTAGAGGCGCGTGCCACCACGCCTGGCTGATTTTTGTATTTTTAGTAGAGACGGGGTTTCACCATGTTGGCCAGGCTGGTCTTGAACTCCTGACCTCGTGATCCGCCCGCCTCAGCCTCCCAAAGTGCTGGGATTACAGACGTGAGCCACGGCGCCCAGCCGGGATGTGGGTATTTCTGGAATACAAAACATCCATAGCCCTCCTTTTACTCTCAAAGCAAAACACAGACACGCACATTCACATGCACACACCAGTGTGTCCGTGTCCTGTTGGTTTGCATGGAGTTTCTGTTTTGCCACGAAGCTTTTTGCCAGCCCTTTTCCCAAAGTGTTTGTACCATTTTATACTCCCACCAGTGATGTTTGAGAGGTCTGGTTGCTTCACATGTTTGCCAGTGTTTGGTGTATTAGTCTTTTTAGTTTTGGATATCCTGGTAGTTGTGTAGTGGTGTCTCCTTGTGGTTCTCCATGGGTTTTTATTCTATATTTCAGTTTGGGGAAAATGAATGAATGGAAGAAAAGAAGGGAGGAAGGATGAAGCAAATAGCTGTGCTTTGAGATCTGACACTGTATACTTCACAGCCCTGATGGACATTCTCCAAATTCTACTCCTTTTTCACATTTTCTTCTTAGAGTTTGCATTGTTCTTTTTATATTCTTCAGATTCCTTCTTTTGTTCATAATTACTTAAACCTATTCATTTTCTAATGCCTTTCAGTTGTTAATTTACTGAAGTTCTTTGGTGCTTACTAGTGCTGCTTGCTGTAGCTGCAGGGTCTGTCTCACAGTGAATTTTTTCTTTTGTGTTTTATAATTTTGGAAAGGGAGCTCATGTTAAATTTGTATTTGTAGGAATTCTGTCTGGCCTGGCTTGAGGTTGTTGTTTGCTTTAGCCTATAACCTCAGGATGGCATCAGCCTGTGACCACTTCCTGTGTAAAAGTTCATAGTTTAGGCGATCCTCTCAATTCAAAGTCTGTATCTATTTCAAGACAGGCCCAAGGTTATAAATTTGCACAAACTTTTTTTTTTTTTTTTTAATACCTTGTGCCCAGTCCAAGACAAATATGTTTGTTTGCCATGGGCTGCTTTTTTTCTAGTTCATCCTTTCATCAAAGGGTTGCACATTGAGCAGTGCCGTGTTAAGGGGGGATTCTTCATTCTACCTTCTTTTCTTGTATTCCTTGACCTCAGCTGGGCTTTAAACCTTGACTTCTGGATGGCGAGGTTGGCACTCCCCTGTGTGAGCTACTGCCTGCCTCCGGTGCTCTGTTTCTGTCCCTAGAGTTCTTTTCCTTTCCACGGAGTTTTGGTATGCATTTCAATGAATGTTTGTATTATGTTGTCCAACATACTTGTGTCCTTTATAGCTGGAGGGTTCTTAAAATTTTCTAATGCTCCATATTGCCAGAAATAAAAAGGCTGAGGGAATAAATATTATAGTCTTCTCTGATTCTTAAAAATATGAAAAATAGCTCATCAGATGACTGTAAGTCTATCCTCAGAAATCCAAGGCACACCAAGCATGTGGTGGAATGTTAACAAAAGTTTTTAAAAATGATCTTTTCTGCCAGGTACAATGGCTCACACCTGTAATCTCAGCACTTTGGGAGGCTGAGGTGGGAGGATCCCTTGATCTTAGGAGTTTGAGACCAGCCTGGGCAACATAGTGAGATCCCCCGGCCCCCCCATCTCTACAAATAATTAAAAAATCAGCTGGTCACGGTGGGGTGCACCTGTGGTCCCAGCTACTCAAGGAGGCTGAGGGAGGAGGATTGCCTGAGCCCAGGAGGTCGAGGCTCCAGTGAGCTATGATTGTGCCACTGCACTCCAGCCTGACTGACAAAGTGAGACCCTGTCTCCAAAGGAGAAAAAAAAAAACATATATATATATATATATATATATATAGTCTTGCCCTGAGGTTTTCTCTCTGTTTTCTTTACAGGGTACAGCTCTGCCGGGGGGGGAAAAAGTGGTACCATTTTGGGCGTTCTTGAGCTTCAGAATGCAACCAGACATGTCCTTGAATGTCATTAAGATGAAATCCAGTGACTTCCTGGAGAGTGCAGAACTGGACAGCGGAGGCTTTGGGAAGGTGTCTCTGTGTTTCCACAGAACCCAGGGACTCATGATCATGAAAACAGTGTACAAGGGGCCCAACTGCATTGAGTGAGTAGGGAGCAGGGGTGGGTGGGCTAAGTTCTGAGCGGGATGGGGACGTTGGCTGTTGTGGAGCCGTTGGCTGCTGCGGAGCCGTTGGTGGGTAGAGTGAGAGGGAGCCTGCCAAGATGTCAGGGTGACGATGGCTCTTCGGATTGTTATTGTCGCTGATGTGGACTCTGAGACTGGGTAGTGAAGGACTCTCACAGCTGGTAAGTAACAGAAGAGACATGAACAAGAAGGAAATAGAGAAAGACAAAGAGATAAGTGTGGTGGGGGGACAATGAAAAGGAAACAGGAGGATGGGTGAAGACAGACCTATTCACTCGCTTCACATTTTCAGTGAGGACCAGCCCTAAGTATAAAAATGAAAAGGCAGTTCATTCCTGAGAGGTTCTGAGAGCCTTCCCTTTAAAGCAACCAGTAGAGTGGTTTCACCTCTCTCCCTCCTTTGTCAGAGTGGTTTTGAGAGAGGCTGTTTTTTTTTTTTTTAATCGTTCTGTCCAGCACGGTCTTTTTTCAGGTTACCTTGCTGCTGTTCATGTACTTTTCATTCATTGATTCATTCATTCCTTCATTGATTTACATTTTTGGAGCATGCACTGCCAGTTACTGGGCAGGAGTACTGTGAGGAAGTGAGAAACCGCTCTGCCTTCTAACGCTTCTGGCCTGTGCCTGGAAGAGATCGGTACAGACCCAAGCATGACCCCAGCACGTGGGAGTGATGTGTTGGAGGTGTGCACCAGGCTCTTGAGGCGCTGGCTCTGCCAGCCTCAGCATAGCACCTTTCCTGCCCACAGGCACAACGAGGCCCTCTTGGAGGAGGCGAAGATGATGAACAGACTGAGACACAGCCGGGTGGTGAAGCTCCTGGGCGTCATCATAGAGGAAGGGAAGTACTCCCTGGTGATGGAGTACATGGAGAAGGGCAACCTGATGCACGTGCTGAAAGCCGAGGTAGAGAGGGCCCCTCCGCACGGGGATCCCCAGCGCTTGGGCCCTGGCTGTCTGTTATGGCTCCCCTTGGGGTGTTTGTTTGCAGCTCGTTAGCATCAAATTTGCAAATTGCTTGGTAGTTTGAATTTTCTTTTCCTTTTTTTATAGAGACAAGGTCTTGCTATGTTGCCCAGGCTGAACTCCAACACCTGGTCTCAAGTGATCCTCCCACCTCAGCCTCTCAAGTAGCTGGGATTACAGGCTGGATTTCCTGAAGTCAGTTTCTCCTTAAAACATCTATGCCTTGATTGGGCTCCGTGGGTCACTTCTGTAATCTCAGCACTTTTGGCAGGAGGATCACTTGAGCCTTGGTGCTCAAGACCAGCCTGGATAACACAGTGAAATCCCCTCTCTACAAAAAATAAAAGGTGCATGTGAACAGAGCAAGACCCTGTCTCTGAAAAAAAGAGAAAATCTTCCTTGCCTTTTACTGCCCTGAGAGTGGTCTCTTCATCCTCTCGATCCTGTGGACAGTCCTCCATAGTCTGTGTCTTAGGAATGTGATTGGCTGTTTACCATACCTGTCCGCTGCTCTGCAATCTACAGTTCAGAGACAAGCCCTGTCTTCATGATGCAGACATCATCTGATGTAGAGTATATGCATGATGGGATGACATTAAATATGGATTAATGAAAGGATATACACTATAAATGACCGTGAGAGCAGATAGAATATTAGTGGTTGCACTTTGATACCATTCAACAAAGTTTTATTTTAAATTAAATATAGAAATTATTGGCAACAACACTGGATAGGATTTAAAACAAAAATAAAAATTGTTTACCAAAGTCAAATGATTTGAAAACATTTTTAAAAGCTTATGTGCCTGTTAAGATGAAGGCCTTGCGCTAGTTGCTCATGAATCAATAGCTAATATGACGTAGGAGAGTAAAAGGAGGCAGATAGCTAAATAAGTGGTATGGTGTGATGGGGTTTTTTTTTTTTCTTTTGTAAGAGAACAAGGTCTCACTGTGTTGCCCAGGCTGGAGTGCAGTGGCACAATCATAGTGCACTGCAGGCTTGAACTCCTGGCCTTAAATGATCCTCTCACCTCAGCCTCCTGAGTAGCTGGGACTATGGGCATGAGCCACTGCACCCAGCTGTGTGGTGGTATTTTTTTTTTTAGAGGAGTCTCGCTCTGTCGCCCAGGCTGGAGTGCAATGGTGCAATCTCGGCTCACTGCAACCTCCACCTCCCTGGTTCAAGCAACTCTCCTGCCTCAGCCTCTTGAGTAGCTGGGATTACAGGCGCCTACCACCATGCCTGGCTATTTTTTTAATTTTTAGTAGAGACAAGTTTTCACCATGTTGGTCAGGCTGGTCTCGAACTCCTGACCTCGTGATCCGACTGCCTTGGCCTCCCGAAGTTCTGGGATTACAGGCATGAGCCACCGTTCCCAGCTGATGGTGTTTTGATAGACATACTCATTGCTGAGGGAGTACACATGAGAGGCACCCACTCAGCCTGGAATAGACAGAAAAGGCTTCCAATGTGAAGGACATGTAGACGTTTTGAAGCAGAGAATTAGAGAACAAGTGTTCTAGGCAGAGAGAATACCATGTAGAGACTGCCAAATTTGGGGAACTGTAAATTCCTGGGTTTGGCTAGAGCATAGATTGCACAGGGTATGGGGAGGGGTGGCGGGATATGGCTGCCTTTATGGCAAATACTCCCACTTTTCCACTTTCTTCTCCCACCCCACAATTGCCAAGCCAACAGACATCTCACAAAAATACCCTTGGGAAGGAGAAGAGGTGATCACTTATACGCATGGTATTATAGTTTGATCAGATTGCTCTCCACCCCAGAACTAGAGAAGATCAGCTGTTTGAAGTAAACATTTTGATTGGGAAATAAGTCTTTGGTCTCCCATCCAAGTACTAACCAGGCCCAACCCTGCTTAGCTTCTGAGATGAGAGAGAAATCATTGGGGACATGAGGCATTGTGCAAGATGAGGGAAAGTTCAGGTGCACCTGTTTGGACTCAGTCAGGGCATCAGGAGGACCTGAGAGAGAAGCAGAAAGAGAGGAGAGAGGGGGACCAACTTTGCTTACTCAGAAGTTTTTCCTAAGTCCAAAGGTATACCAAGGAAGAAGAGAAAACATCTTTTCTGCTACTTTCTGTATGGTGGTGATCAAGCTATTAACAGTGTAGCTCTGCTACGTTATGTCATAAATATGGTTTGAGGGGGAATCTCACTTCTATCATTAAAATTTTTTTCCTGTTAACCAACGACCAAAATACATATACATTTTTAGGAAACATCTTGTTTGTATACTGATTTTTTATTGTTAAGCAAAACTGTAATTTAACCACTATAATAGAAACTGGAATTGTTTCTGTTAGTATTGATGCTCACATAACAAGAATACAATTATAAGAACCAGTGACCTGAGACTCTACAGAAGCCTGAAGTATCTGCTACCAGGTCATCAAATAGATATTAATTCACTTAAGCGTAGTTTTAACATCATGTTTATCTCAGATTTTTCTATGATTGTAATCAGTGTGAACATGTTCCCTTGTATTCTTTTTTCTCTTAATGTTATTTTACACGCGACATTTGCATGGCATTGTTCATGTCCTTAATGTAAACTTAGTATGATGTCGTGTGAGTATCCCACAGAAACTGCTTGCTCGTATATTTATTCATCCATTCATTCAACAAGCATTCCAGGTACAATCCTAGGTTCTAAAGATACAGTCCTAAATAATATATATTTTTGTTCTCAAGGAGCTTAATTTTATAGTATTTTATGCATTACCAAATTATTGTGGGATTTTTGTTTTTACACTAACAAAATACAACACGAATACCCTCTGCCCCCCCCCGAATGAAATCTTTCTTGTTTCCCAGTGACAGCAGTACTGTGGTGCACCTGCTGGAAGGAAACCTGGTAACCTTCTCCTCAGGCTCAGATCCCACCACCCTTTCATGAAACAGTTGCTTTGGCCTATTTGATAACCTTTCCATTTCATAGACTTAATATCACTTGTTTTAGATGAGTACTCCGCTTTCTGTAAAAGGAAGGATAATTTTGGAAATCATTGAAGGAATGTGCTACTTACATGGAAAAGGCGTGATACACAAGGACCTGAAGCCTGAAAATATCCTTGTTGATAATGACTTCCACATTAAGGTAAACCATCATCGGTAGGCTTCCAGAAAGTTGGGTGATTTTAGTTTTAATTCTCCAATGTAAATCCATTCTCGTACATTGGAGAAGCTAAAGGAAGACCTAGCTCAGCTTATAACTGTTGATGATGGTGCCGAAAGGCTCTACCGGTGATTGAGAGGAAGGCTGCAGGCTTGATGGGATCAGGAGATAACTGTCAGGATAACTCATATCTTTTGGGGGAGGAGTGGAGTTGAATGGGGTAGATGAGAAGACCTCTTTCCTAGACTGTGTTTTTTCCTCTGTTAGAAACATTTAGAAACATTCAAGGGTTGCCCTTTTCATCCTGGAATGGGCCATTGGTGTCATAATGTTCTCCAGGAAATCTGTGTCACCAAGACTCTCCTCCTCTGGAAATGCAGGGGAATGTGAAGGTGTGTGCGGAAAATCCTTAGAGTTCAGATATGGCCTAAGAGTGAGATCAGCGGCCGGGTGCAGTGGCCCACGCCTGTTATCTCAGCACTTTGGGAGGCTGAGGTGGGCGGATCACCTGAGGTCGGGAGTTCGAGACCAGCCTGACCAACATGGAGAAACCCCATCTCTACTGAAAATACAAAATCAGCCGGGCGTGGTGGTGCATGCCTGTAATTCCAGCTACTCGGGAGGCTGGGGCAGGAGAATCGCCTGAACCGGGGAGGTGGAGGTTGTGGTGAGCCGAGATTGTGCCATCGCACTCCAGCCTGGGCAACAAGAGCGAAACTCTGCCTTAAAAAAAAAAAAAAAAAAAAAAAAAAAAAAAAAAAAAAAAAAAAATCAGCAGTGCATCAAAAACCTCTACTTTGAAATTTTGTTTTATATTTGTATTCGATTGTTTACTTCTGTCTGTATTTTAAAAATCAGTTTCCTTTGAACACATTCTTTCCATTGTCGTAAAGGGAACAAGGGAAAGGGATTTTTCTTTTGTTCATTCAAGGGCAGGATTTAGCTAGGGGGAGTGTCATATCTAATTGGCTTCTGCAGCAGGAATCCAAGCACAAGAATCCAAAAGGGGAAGCGGAAGGGGAAGCAGCCCTGGGGGAGGCACCCAGGAGCTGCTGACACAGGGGCCTCTCATCACCAGCAGGTTCTGCGTCTAGCGCTTTGTCCTAGTCTTGGACAAAGGGCTGGGAATAAAAATTCCTTATTCATAACCTATCTTCAAATTCATGACTTCCCTCTTATGTCGTGGGTTAGAATCTGTGAATTTTAGGTACTCATGTGCCACAGTTCATCCCCACATGCTTGCTTGGATTCCTGGAGGCAGAAGTGGAACTGGCACCTATATTCTCTTCTGAACTGTGCTGCCCTGTCATTTTGCCCTGCCAGCACTGTTCTTGTTCTGTGTCTGACCTTGCTATTTTTCTCTCTGCTTTTTTGTCTGTTTTTCTCCTCCTTTCCACCCTATCTCCTCTTAGGTTCAGGCTACAGCTCAAAACAAGCAACACTGCAGTCCTTATCCTCAGTGTGTCTTTGGGATCCTTGGACACTTGCATCCATGGGCCTCTGGACGCCATTTGGGGAAATAGAAGGTGTAGTATTTAGCCACTGTCTGCTGCATAAATGTGCAGAGAAGAAAATAACCATTTTCCCCCCAAGCCCTAGAAATAGTTGAAAAACATACGCAGAGTCAATGGGGAATGAGAATAAATATGTTTGGTTGTTACTGTTCTTGTCAGAAACATCTTCCGCTTTTCCCCTCCCCCTTACTGCATAAGGAATACGATACCAGAATTTCATGTGAACGTTTCCTGGGCGACATTTTACAAATGGCTGAGGAGACACACAGTTTCTATGAGTCTGTTGAGAAGTCGCTGTTTTGAACCTGCCCAGTGCAACCATTTCTGGAAAATTTACCGTACCTTATGTATAATGGATAAGCCCAAAATTGAAAGTCAGATCTGATTTGCTTACGGCCTTCACCAAACAATCCCAGTGGCTCAATGTCTTTCGCAGATCGCAGACCTCGGCCTTGCCTCCTTTAAGATGTGGAGCAAACTGAATAATGAAGAGCACAATGAGCTGAGGGAAGTGGACGGCACCGCTAAGAAGAATGGCGGCACCCTCTACTACATGGCGCCCGAGCACCTGAATGACGTCAACGCAAAGCCCACAGAGAAGTCGGATGTGTACAGCTTTGCTGTAGTACTCTGGGCGATATTTGCAAATAAGGAGCCATATGAAAGTAAGGCATTACTTACTTTCCACTGCCGTCCCCTCAGCATCTACACGCACTGTGCCTGGAACTAATAGGTGCCCAGTAAATTTTTGTTGAATGAATGAGTAATCCCATTTAGGAATCAGTGATCATAGGATGAATAGGAACCTCGATAGTGTGTCATTAGCTGGAGAGGTGCTGTGAAATTCCAGGGTTCTTCCTAGACAGGAAAGTTGATTGTTTCTGCTTGTGAGGACTTAGCCTTTCACACTACAAGGCATACACTTCATACTTTCACTCATTCACTTGCTCCTTCATTCAAGAATTATTTCTTTTCAGTCCCTACTGTGGGCACTTGAGTCGGCATTGGGAATATAAAGATGAGTAAGTCGTGGCTTGTGTAGGATAGAGACACTCTGCAGTTTGTTAAGTGCATAAACTGATGGATGTTGTCCTACATACTCTTCTTGGGTGATCATCAGCTCCCATGGTTTGATGATCATCTCTTTGCAAATGCTTCTTAAATCTGTGTCTCTGGCTCTGGAATGGATATCCACTTGTCTTACAGTCAGATCCATCGCAGGTACCAGAGGAACCTCCAAAGCAGCATCCCCCAAACACATCCTGTCGACACTGTCCTGCAGCTCGCCCCGCTTCACCCCTCTTCATATGCTTGGGAAGTGGCATCGCCATCCTTTTACCAAGTTGTTGCCCAATAAGAAACTTCAGAGTCATCCCAGACTCGCCCTTGCCCCTCTCTCCCACATTCTATCAGATCTCAAAACCTGTGAATTCAAGATATATGTATGACTCAAGATATATCTGCAACCCATCTGCCTTTCTCTGTCTCCACTGGCCTCTGCTCAGTTCAAACCCTCCTCGTTTCTGCAGCAGGCTCCTTCCACCGTCCACCATTCATGTGGCAGCCAAAATGGTCGTCCTAAAAGGCACATGCAACCCTCTCCCTCACATATTGGAAATCCTTCCCAGATGCTCTGTGGTCTTCAGGATGAAGTTCGAATTCCTCAGCGTGGAATAAAAGGCCTTCATGTTCTGGCCTTTGCTTCTCTACTGGCCTCGTCCCTAACCCTCCCTTCTTTGTCAGTGTGCAGTTACACTGAGGAATTTGTGGGATGCGTCATGATCTCTGTAACTTCTAGTCTGTTGATATCCTGCTTCTCTTCCTGGAGTCCTCCTCCTTAAGTCTCCCTTTCCCATTCTTTACCTGCTAATTTTTCTGGACTCAACAAAGCCTTCCTGGACCTTTTTAGTCAGGTTTGTGCTACTGGAACCCCTTGTACATCCTTTTTTTTTTTTTTTTCCCGTGAGACAGAGTCTCATTCTGTCGCCAGGTTGGAGTGCAGTGGTGCAGTCTCGGCTCACTGCAGCCTCCACCTCCCAGGTTCAAGCAATTCTTCTGCCTCAGCCTCCCGAGTAGCTGGGACTACAGGTGCACACCACCATGCCCAGCTAATTTTTATATTTTTAGTAGAGACGGGGTTTCACCATGTTGGCCAGGATGGTCTTGATCTCTTGACGTCATGATCCGCCTGTCTCAACCTCCCAAAGTGCTGGGATTACAGGTGTGATCCACCATGCCCAGCCTCAGCCTTCTTGAATAGCAATGATCACTCTGTGTTTTAAGTCACTCTCATTAAACTGAGCTCCTAAAGACAAGGACTGCCCTGTATTTGCTTTTGCACATGGAGCATGCCATTGGCCTTGCCCACATAATCTTTTTGTTCCATCAGCAGGCAGCTTTGTCGAGAATTTTGTTTTATCTGCAGACATTAAGATATTGTTTGGTCATCTCTGTAGTGGAATATGTCAGCTCCTTGTCATAAGGCCATTCCACTCTATGGAATGAGGCAGCTGTACCAGAGGCTGAGAAAAATGAGCAGTATTGTTCAAGTTCTGTCACCTTCCTGCCTGAGAGAGGAGCAAGACCTGAAAGAAAGTCTTTGCTTTGTAGATGCTATCTGTGAGCAGCAGTTGATAATGTGCATAAAATCTGGGAACAGGCCAGATGTGGATGACATCACTGAGTACTGCCCAAGAGAAATTATCAGTCTCATGAAGCTCTGCTGGGAAGCGAATCCGGAAGCTCGGCCGACATTTCCTGGTAAGAGCATCTTTTCTGACTGTGTAGGATGCATCCTGTGTGGTGATTTTCCTAGTAACATATTGTTAGGAACTTGGTTTGAATCCTCAGAAAACTGAGTTCGACTTGACTTGTGGTTTTAAACTGATTTTCTAGATTTCAAACATGTTATTCAGTGCAAAGAAGCCCTCTCTCTCAAAAGCATGATGGCACATAAGGCCTTCTTGTTTCCTTTTTTTGTAATTAACTTTTTAACTTGGGTTTAAATATACGTAACATGAAATTTAACATTGTAACTGTTTTCAAGTGCACTGTTCAGGGGCAGTAAGTACAGTCCCATAGTACATTCACTTTCCATCGTCTCTCTCCCTGCCCCTGGCAGCCCCTATCCTACTTTCTGTCTCTGTGAATTTAACTGCACTGGGTGCCTTATATATAAGTGGAATCATACAGTATTTGTCCTTTTGTGTCTGGCTTACTCCACTTGGCATGATGTCCTCGAGGTTCATCTGTGTTGTAGCATATGTCAGAATTTCTTTCCTTTTCAAGGCTGAATAATATTCCATTGTATGAATGGAGTGCATTTTGTTTATCCATTCGTCCGTCTATGGGCACTTAGGTGGCTTTGACCAGCCTTCTTGCTTCTTCACTTCTTTTATTTCCATCCCCTCCCTTGTTTAGCTGGCATCTTTAGAAAGTATTTTGCCGTCTAGATTGGCCTTGTCATACAGGGATGAGGAAAGGTGCCGGGATGTTTGCTGAGCAGTATTCTATGGTGTGGATGTACCACGGTTTGGTTAACTACTCACTCCTTGAAAGACTTGTTTCCAGTTCTTAACTGTTGGGACTAATGCAGCTGTAAATATTCGTGGACATGTTTTTGTGTGAATATAAGTCTTCATTTCTCTGGAGTAATACCCAGGGGTACAATAGCTAGGTTGTATGGTAGTTTCATGTACAGTTTATTTTAAAAATTCCCTAACATTTTCCCAGAGGGGCTGTGCCATTTTATGTTCGGTGTCCGAGTGATGCAGGTTCTTGTATCCTCACCAGCATGGGGTACCCAGGCTCCTCACACTTCTGCTTAGTCAGCTACAAATTTATTTGAGTATTCCCACAAGCCCCACTTCAGGTTTGGTAATTCGTTAGAAAGACTCACATAACTCAAGAAAACATTTTACTTACGTCTCCCCTTTTACTGCAGTGGGTACAATTCAGAAACAGCCAAATGGAAGAGATGTACAAGGTGAGGTATGGGAGGAGGGTGTATAGAACTTCCATAGCCTTTCAAGACACACCGCATTCCAGTGCTTCTGTGTGTTCAGCAACCTCAAGCTCTCCAAGCCTCACCGTTTAAGGTGATTTATGGAAGTTCCATTACATACGCATGACTGACTAAATCATGGTCATTGGTGCTTGAGCTTAATCTCCAGTCCCTCTCTCCTCACTGGAAGTCAAAGGTGGAGCTGAAAGTCCCAACCTTCTAATTATAGCTTGGTCTTTCTGGTTGCTAGCCCCCATTCTGAAGTTGCCTAGTTTTCTGACCCCACCCAAAAGACACTCTTAGAAGACTCCAAGGATTTTAGGTGCTACCTGCCATGAACAAAATCAAACCTTCCTGATTCTCCAAGGTGTCTTCTTTTATTGTTTCCTTTCTGTTTAGAGAACTTTCCTTAATCATTCTTTTAGGATATGTCTGAACTCTGTCATTCTAAAATTTTTTTCCTTATAGGGAAGGTGTTATTTTTCTCTTGCTGCTTTCAAGACTTTGTCTTTATTTTTCAGAGATTTAGTTGTTATTTATCTTGGTGTGGATTCCTTTGGGTTTATTCTGTTTAGGTTTTGCTCAGCTTCTTAAATCTGTAGGTTTATGCCTCTTAAACCATATTTGGGGAGCTTTCAGCCATTATTTCTGTAAGTACTTTTTAACCCCCACCCTCTTTCTCTTTTCTTTCTGGAATTCTGACAACATAAAAACTATATCTTTGGTTATGGTTATAGTCCCACAGGTCCCTGAGGCTTTGTGTTTTTTTTGTTTTTTTTGTTTTTGTTTGTTTTTTTCAGTTAATTTTCTCTCTCTTATTCAGACTGGGTAAGTTCTATCATTCTGTCTTCCAGTTCACTGATTTTTCTGTTTCTCCTCGATTCCACAGTTGAACCTGTCTACTGAGCTTTTTTTTTTTTTTGACACGGACTCTCACTCTGTCGCCCAGGTTGGAGTGCAGTGGCGCAAGCTCTGCCTCCTGGGTTCACGCCATTTTCCTGCCTCAGCCTCCCGAGTAGCTGGGACTACAGACACCCGCCACCACACCTGGCTAATTTTTTGTATTTTTAGTAGAGACGGGGTTTCACCGTGTTAGCCAGGATGGTCTCCATCTCCTGACCTTGTGATCAGCCCGCCTCGGCCTCCCAAAGTGTGGGATTACAGGTGTGAGCCACTGTGTCCGGCCTACCGAGCTTTTTATTATGTTTTGGTCATTAAAGTTTTCAGCTCTAAAATTTATATTCTCCCCTTTTTTGCTGAGACTTTCTATTTTTCATTTGTTTCAAGCAGGTTCATAACTATTAATTGAATCGTTTTTATCATGGCTGTTTTAAAATCCTTGACAGGTAATTCTGACATTGCTGTCATCTCAGTATTGGCATCTATTGATTGTCTTATTTCATTCAGTTTCTGATTCTTAATGTAATGGGTAATTTTTCTGTTGAAACTTGTACATTTTCTTCCTATGTTTGGAGATTCTGTATCCTCTTTAAGCCTTCTGTTTTAACTGAACTTTCCTGACACTGCTCTGACAAGGGAAGAGTGGTGGCCACCTTATTAGTGCTGGGTAGAGGTAGAAGTTCAGCCTCTCGACTCAGCCCTTATTGACACCTAAGGTCAGAGGCTCCTCTTCACTGCTGATCAGGGGTGGGAATTCTGGCAGAGTCCACACGGTCCCCACTGACACAGAGGTGAAGGTACCTCATTACTACTGGACAATGTTAAAAGTCCCGATTCTCCACTAGACCTCCTCTGACACTTCCCCAGTGGGGAAGGGAAGGGTGGTCTTGTTACTGCCATGTGGGGCAAATCCAGGCTATTCTTGTGTTCTCCTGACACCATGGGAGTGGAGGCGCTCATTATCAGCTGGCAGGTAGGACAGCCCTGGCTTCCTGTTGGGCCTTCTCTGACATTACCCCGGTGGGGGTGTTGGGTTACGTTGTTACTGTCTCATGCGGTTGGATGTTGAGGCTCTCCACTTGGCCTTAGCTGCTGTGGGTGGGGTTGGAGCCACAGGGTTTTTTCTGTGGTGGTTGGCTGGAACAGAGTGGTTGCTGACTAAAAGTTTTCTCCTATCCAAGTACTAACCAGACCTGACCCTGCCTAACTTCCAAGATCAGACAAGTTTGGGCATATTCAGGATGGCATGGCTGTAGACTGGCTAAAGGTTTTCTGTCTGTCCCTTGCTGCCCCTTGCTTAGTTCTTTGGCTAGAAAGAGCAGGCTTTAGTTGGAGATTTTTTTTTATCTGTGGCTCTTGATGGTTTGAGGTTGCCACCTTTTCAGCCAAGTCTGAGATATATGAGGAAAAGAGAAAATCCAGTGAACTCACTATCGTGTGTTTCATCTGATCCCGAGGTTTCCTGCTGGTCTGCCTCCTTCTCTTCTCCTTTCAGAGACTCTGTATGTTTGTTTTATAAATAATATATAGGATGTTTTTGTTGTACTTAGAAGGAAGATTAAGAAAAAAGTATGTCCACTCCATCTTCCTGGAACTGGAAGTTTCTTTTTTCTTTTAAGGCTAACAGCTGTAACCCATTACACTAAATCCTTCCTCTGACTATCCCAATCTCTCATAAATTTGATGCCAGAGGAACAGAAACATGGAGTTCGCCCATCCCTGTTCAGCTGGAGATGAACTCACATCAGGGAGCAGTTTGTGTTGCAGCCAGAGAAACTGCAGCACGAATAAAAAGCACAAAGAGCACAGGCTATTGAGGCAGAAACCCCTGGTTTCCTGTGTTAGCCTATCCCTTGTTCTGTCTATTAATCTTATTAGTCTCTATCAGAGTCAGTGATTTGGAGCTTAAATTTTTATTTAAGCTTTGCCCACAGATTGAGGTAAGTAATTCAAAGATAATAGATGGCTAATATTTTTATTTTATGTTAGAAAATAATTAAGAAATTTAAAGTACATTTTACTTTTACAGGCATTGAAGAAAAATTTAGGCCTTTTTATTTAAGTCAATTAGAAGAAAGTGTAGAAGAGGACGTGAAGAGTTTAAAGGTAGGCAATATAGCAGATGCTCAAAATATTAACATAGCAAAATATATACTGTCAATCATGAAAACCAAAACAAAGTGATTTGTTATTGAGATTTGAGGTAAGCTAGCTTGGTAAACATATAAAACAAAATGAGCAATTGTCTGCACATATCATCCTGTTGGCATACTGGACCCATTTCTCCTTCAAAACTCATGAAATGAGAGAAAACATATATAGCAATATGAAAACAAAAGCACAATGTCACTGGCAAAGATTGGAAAGTACCATAAGTGGATCAGCCATTTTGAGGAATTCTTGAAAGATAGAAAGACCACAGAATTATTCTGCTGAGACATATAACAGACAAGGAATACTAGCCCAAGACATAATGCTGAGGAAGAAGTACCGGAGGGGCAGTCTTGGGTCAGTGTGCAGAAGCAACAGCACAGTCACCTGGGATGTTGACAGGGGAGTCATCTGAGAACCTCATTTATGCTATTTAGGAAAGTCGGCTTCTCTCCCTCCTTCCCCTGTACTTAGCAACAGATGGCAGCAGCATCTGCCCAAGACTGAAGCAAGGAGGTGGTTTCTGGGGTTAGAGGGGCATGACAAGGCCCAGTTAGGAACCAATCAACTAAGAGGAATGGAGACCACCCCGCCCCCCTGC